>NC_000001.11:248608364-248777393 GCF_000001405.40 Homo sapiens | reverse complement strand
CCCAAATCTCAACTCTTACCTTCTGTGCACCCACAGGCCCAACACTCCATGGAAGCCACCAAGGCTTGGGCTTACACCCTCTGAAGCCACAGCCCAAGCTGTATTTTTTACCCCTTTTAGCCATGGATGGAGCTGGAGTGGCTGGGATGCAGGCTATCAAGTCCTGAGGCTACACAGAACAGCTGGGTCCTAGGCCTGGCCCACAAAATCTTTTTTCCCTCCTAGGCCTTGGGCCTATGATGGGAGGGGCTGCCATGAAGATCTCCAAAATGCCCTGGAGACATTTTCCTCATTTTCTTGGCTATTAACATTTGGCTCCTTATTACTTATGCAAATTTCTGCAGCTGGCTTGGGCTTGAATTCCTCCCTGGAAAATGGGTGTTTCTTTTCTACCACATGACCAGGCTGCAAATTTTCCAAACCTTTATGCTCTGCTTCCTTTTAAACATAAGTTCCAATTTCAGATCATTTCTTTGTGAGCACATATGACTATATGCTATTAGGAACATCCAGGTCATGTCTTGAATGTTTTACCACTTAGAAATTTCTTCTGCCAGATACCCTAAATCATCTCTCTCAGATTCAAAGTTCCACAGATCTCTAGGGCAGGGGCAAAATGCCATGGGTCTCTTTGCTGAAGCATAGCAAGAGTGACCTTTAATCCGGTTCCCAATAAATTCCTCATCTCCATGTGAGACCTCCTCAGCCTGGTCTTCACTGTTCATATCACTTTCAGCATTTTGGTCACAACCATTCAACAAGTTTCTAGGAAGTTTCAAACTTTCCCACATCTTCCTGTCTTCTTCTGTGCCTTCCAAACTGTTCTAACTTCTGCCCATTACCCAGTTCCAAAGTCATTTCCACATTTTCAGTTATCTTTATAGCAGTGCCCCACTCTCCTGGTATCAATTTTCTCAATCAGTCCATTTTCACACTGCCATAATGAACTACCTGAGACTGGGTAATTTATAAAGAAAAGAGTTTAATTGTCTCACAGTTCCACATGGGTGGGGAGTCCTCAGGAAACTTACAATCATAGTGGAAAGTGAAGGAGAAGCAAGACACATCTTACATGGTGGCAGGAGAGAGAGAGAAAGAGAGAGAGAGAAGGAAGTGCCACACACTTTAGAACAAACAAATAATCACGAGAACTCACTATGGTGAGAACAGCAAGGGGGAAATCTGCGCCATGATTCAGTCACCTCCCATCCGCCCCCTCCTCTGACTTGTGGGGATTACAATTTGAAATGAGATTGGGGTGAAGACACAGAGCCAAACTGTGTCACATCTCTTCTGTAACAGTCCCTGGGCCTGGAGGGATTGAATAGTTTTAGATTTTTAGAGGTGAAACAAAACATAAAGAATTAGCAAAGTTTTAAATCAAAATGTCATAAGCCCTGCCTAGTTCTGAGAATGGCAGAAAAGGAAGCTTATAGGTAATTAAACATTTAAATTATTTAGTATCAAGACATAGAACAAATTATATTATTTTAGATAAAGGCAGCATTATTAAATGAATCCTAATGGTTTTGAATGCTGGCCTGTCCCTGTGTCTCATAAAAGCAGTTTACTTTGGTTGTCACCTTTGATTGGGTCCAGAGACAAGGCTCTGATTAACTTGAGTTGGGGCGTCAGATACTGGCAGGAGCCAATGTCTTCTTTGCATAAGACTGATTAACTTGAGTTGGGGTGTCAGATACTGGCAGGAGTCAATGTCTTCTTTGGATAAGATATGTGCACCTACGAGTCAAAGCTGTATAATTTAACAGCACAAATATTAGTTAATAGCACCTGATAAGGACCTTTTCAAGTGGTTGGAGATAGTGATGCTGGAGACCGTGACCTGACTGGAAGCTGCAAAAAGATTTTGTAATCTTACGGTGATTAATTTTTATAGCTTTGGGCAAAAGGTCAGACACAATTCTAGATTCAGTTTTAAAGACATCTGTCAAAGATGTTAAAATACTCAAAGGATTTGATTAAAACCGAGTCACAGGTCATCATAAAATAATACTCATTTAACCAAAGTGATCATCAGAAGACGTTAAAGGCAATATAGAAGGTTACAATGGATGTAAAAACCTTAACCCTTTTAGATCTGTTTTTCTAGGCAGTTGAAAACCCAATAAAGGCAACACTTGCTTAGCCAACATAGTGAAACCCCGTCTCTACCACAAATACACAAAGTAGCCAGGTATAGTGGCACACTCCTGTAGTCACAGCTACTCAGGAAGCTGAGGTGGGAAGACTGCTTGAGCCTGGGAGGTCGAGGCTGCAGTGAGCCGAGATTGTGCCACTGCACTTCAGCCTGGTAGACAGAGTGAGACCCTGTCTCAAAAACAAACAAACCAACCAAAAAACAGCATAGGAATTATTTCGACAAAACGTAACATGTTGTTCTCCTTATGGGAAACCCATTAGATAACCTGGAAGTTAAACCTGATGAAAGAAAGTGCTTCAATTTAATCAGGAAGAATGTGTTCAAGGCTAGGAGTATAGCAAGGAAATACATAATTCTTAGTAACTGTATGACAAGTGTCCTGATCACATTGCAAAATTTAGACATATCAAGAAAAGCCCAGAGCACAGAATCAAGTTAAACTGGAGGAAAATATTGCTTCTCTGCAACTTTAAGATAAAACATTTTAGCATTAGGCCACAACAATAGTTATAACCGGAGGAAAAAAGTTACGGGAGCTGATGAAAAGGTAAAGGAGAGTTTTAGGCCTTCATTTTAACCCTTCTCAAGGGGAGAACAAGCTGAAAGCAGTGAGACACAGCAAAAGTTGAAGTTCTGAGATATGAGTCTGAGGAATTAAAAAAAAGATTATAAAGTTAAAAAGAAACATTCTTGTAATTCATTAAGAGCAAATGAGTACCTTAAGAAAACCTTGTTTTAACATAGGGGACTAATGCTAGAGAGATTATTATAAATAATTCCCTTTTAATTATAGTCAACTTAATCACATACAGAATCCCTCTTGTAAATTCTCCTTCATGAACCTTATTACAACTTACATAGGTTGCCGCATGCTTAGACTTTCTGACTTGTCTTACGTTTCTCTTTCCTAAACAATCAGCTATTTTACTTTAGGGCAAGAAATTACCATACAAGATTTTCTTTCCATATAAAGTTATTTTTGGCCGGGCGCGATGGCTGACACCTGTAAGCCCAGCACTTTGGGAGGGTGAGGTGGGCGGATCACCTGAGGTCAGGAGTTCAAGACAGGCTGGCAAACATGGTGAAACCCCATCTCTATTAAAAATACAAAAATTACTCAGGCGTGGTGGCACACACCTGTAGTCCCGGCTACTCAGTAGGCTGAGGCAGGAGAATCGCTTGAACCCTGGAGGCAGAGGTTGCAGTGAGCTGAGATCACACCACTGCCCTCCAGCCTGGGTGACAGAGTGAAACTCTGTCTCAAAAAAAATTACTTTATTTATAACATTTTTCATCAAAAATATACCTTGAATTGGGCAGGTCAGATAGTGGGGGCGTGATGGCTACGAGTGGGCCAGGGTTGGGGGGTTCCGCCAGGTGGAGGCAGGATAACTCCAGGCCGGGAGGGAGTTGGAGGGGTGCCCCACGCCCTGAGGGGACAAAGGCAGATGAATAAGGACCAATTGTAGAGCTGCATTAAAGAAAAATGCCAAAATCTTCAGAAAATAAGGAATCTGCCAAAGAAGAGAAAATCAGTGACATTCCAGTTTCTGAAGGAACTCCAAGACATGTATGATTTCAAGGCTTTGCAAAGATTTTCACTGGCTGTCTTGCAGCAGTTACTGGTGGTATGATGTATGATCTCTACTTATCTGTATACCACGAACAGAAATTCTGGTTTTCCAACAGGCAGGAGCTTGACCGGGAAATCACATTTCAGGGTGACAGTGGCATTTATTACTCATAAAGATGTGTTAAAGGCGCCTTCATTTGAAAGAGGTGTTTATGAACTGACACACAATAACAAAACTGTATCTCTGAATAGCATAAATGCAGTGTAGCAAATGTTTCTATATCCAGAACCTATTGCCAGCGTTTTATATCAAGCCACTGGTAGCAATGAGATTATTGAGGTGGAGTATTTCTATATTGGCATTGTTTTTGGAGTGTAAGGAATATATGTTATTGCTTTGTTTGTTACAAGTTGGCTTATGAATGGAACGTGGCTAGCAGGAATGCTTACTGTTGCGTGGGTCATTATTAACAGGGTAGATATAATACAAGAATTGAATACTCCATTCCTTTAAGAGAAAACTGGGCACTACCATATTTTGCATGCCAAGTTACTGGACTTACAGGCTATGAGAAAGCAACTTAAATACTTATGGAGAGAGGTTTTGCTACTTGCTGATGAGTGCTTCAATTTACACATTTATGATGATGGGGAGTACAGCCACTCTCCCGTTTCTTCAAGCCATAACTCTGTTCCTGCTAGATATCTTTTCACTGGAGCAAAGTGATGAGGTTTATGAAGTTTATAAAATCTATGTATTTTCTCTCTTCCTGGGATATTTACTGCAGCTAGAGAATCAACCTTTATTGGTATCTTGTTTATTAAGTTTGGTAGCAGTCTCAATGCTTGCTAAGTGCCTTTGCTGAATCTAAAGAAAGGAAACTTTGTAGCTAAAATAATGAAAGTGATTAATTTTTACTTGGTGTGTACTCTAACAGTGACATTGTATGTTATAATGAAGATGTTTGTCCTAAACAGAGAAAACGGGCTCATGCTGAAATTCCTTGAAGTTAAGTTTGGACCAAATATGGCTAAGAATTTTACAATGAATTGGCTCCTCTGTCAAGAATCTCTACAGGGGCCATCTCAGGATTTTGTGTGTGTGTGTGATTGACACAGTCTTCTTTATTACCCTTTTATATTTTAGTGTTAATTATTTATTTTGTTCCTATGTTGCAAGTTATTTTTAGGAGGATTAATGGTAAATCCCTGAAAGAAGCTGTTACTCTTGAAGATGAACGAATTGGTGACATTATTGGAGAAATTATTTCATAATTCACACTATTTTATTGGGTTCTCTTGTGATGGTTATAGAAGGCTTGAAGTACATCTGGATTCCTTATGTGTGCACGTTAGCAGGATTTGGTGTACGTTCTTCTGAACTTTGAACGACACTTTTCAAGTGGTGCTGATTAAGAACTGTATACCCAATGTGGTTGTCTCTCCCTGAGCATGGCTGTGCCTACTATAGTAGGTCTCAGTTTATAGAAAGAGCTTTTTTCCAAGATTAATGGCACAATTAACGGAGTGACAGGAATTCTACGACCCAGGTACAGTGGAACTTATGACATGGATAAAAAGGCCAGTTCCAGCTGCAACTGTGTTTGCAGGGAGTCCACAGTTAATGGGTGCGATGAAGTTATGCACTGGAAGGCTGGTGACAAGTTTGCCTCTTTACAATGATGATCTTCTCAAGAGAAATGAAAACATCTACCAAATACATCCAAAGCGATCTGCTGAGAGTATTTATAACATACCGACAGCCAACAAAGCTAATTACCTAATGGTAGAGGATACTATCTGCAATGAGTTGGGAACCAGAGAGGCTGTAGGGTTAAAGATTTATTAGACATTGAAAATGACCACATGGTTTGCAAAGAAGGTGACAAGCTAACCTACTCAAAATATGGGCAATTTTTTCATGAGGTCAGAATTAACTGTTCTCTATGTGTGAATTATCTCACTAGAGTATACTGGAACAGATCCTACTTTGTACACAAAATCAACACTGCGGGCCACGTGCAGTGGCTCACACCTGTAATCCCAGCACTTTGGGAGGCTGAGGCAGGCAGATCAAGAGGTCAGGAGATCGAGACCATCCTGGCTAACACGGTGAAACCCTGTCTCTACTAAAAAAATACAAAAAATTGGCCGGGCGTGGCGCTGGATGCCTGTAGTCCCAGCTACTCGGGAGGCTGAGGCAGTAGAATGGCGTGAACCCAGGAGATGGAGCTTGCAGTGAGCCAAGATCGTGCCACTGCACTCCAGCCTGGGTGACAGAGCGAGACTCCATCTCAAAAAAAAAAAAAAAAAAAAAAAAAATCAACACTGTGATGTCCTCCCAATCTTGAAAAATAACTGAACCTTAATTTCACAGACTACCTGAAGTAGAATGCAATTTTTTTCTACCTGCTCAGATCAAATAGGGACATTTGAAATATTGCCGCTGCTTCTCCCTACCTGCTGTTAACCGGATCCAGAGTTCTGTGGGAAACAGAAGATCAAACGTTACTGTCCTTTGATAAAATGTGATATCTACCACTCTGCAATATTTCAGACGGGTATCTTCTTTACTATTACCTGGTCTTTAAAGATTTTACTGATTGCAACATTTCCCCATAAATCTTCATTCTATTATAATGTTGATCTTGAATTTGATTATGTTCAAGGTCAGAATATATTTCTCAAACATAATTTTATAAATATTTAATGTGATATAATTATATAATAGAAGGAAAGAATTATTTCTACCACCAAGCAAGTTTCTGAAAATGTTTCATGATTTATAACAACTGAAGTTTTACAACAAAAGACTAATTTAAATGTTAGCTGAAAATACATGACATTTAAATTAAAATCAAAATTACATAAAGGGAAGTAAGTGATTTTTAAGGATATACATAAGGATATATCCAGAATTTTCAGGATACTCTTCTCATCATCTGCTGCTTATCTGAGTTACTTTCTTGGTAATACATAGTGCATGATATTATTGCATTTTTTTATGACTAGTAAGTGATTAGTTTTTTCACTTATACCTATTAATTTGATACCAATTTAATCATGATAAAACAACTGTTACCTATTATATGTATATATATATATATGTATATATATATATATGTGTATATATATATATATATATATATATATATATATATATATATATAAAATTTTGATTTCCATGGGTTATTGGGGAACAGGTGGTATTTGGTTACATGAGTACATTCTTTTTTATTTTATTTTTTTGAGACAGAGTTTCACTTTTGTTGCCCAGACTGGAGTGCAATGGCTCGATCTCGGCTCACCACAACCTCTGCCTCCTGGGTTCAAGCGATTCTCCTGCCTCAGCCTCCCGAGTGGCTGGGATTACAAGCATGGGCCACCGTGCCCGGCTAATTTTTTTGTACTTTTAGTAGAGACGGGGTTTCTCCTTGTTGGTAAGGCTGGTCTTGAACTCCTGACCTCAGGTGATCTGCCCTCTTCAGCCTCCCAAAGTGCTGGGATTACAGGCGTGAGCCACCACACCCAGCCACATGAGTACATTCTTTAGTGGTGATTTGTGAGATTTTGGCGCACCTGTCACCTGAGCAGTGCACACTGCATCCAATTTGTAGTCTTTTATCCCTCACCCCTTTCCACCCTTTCCCTGAGTCCCCAAAGTCCACTGTGTCATTCCCATGCCTTTGCATTCTCATAGCTTAGCCCCCACTTATGAGTGAGAACATACAATGTTTGGTTTTCCATACCTGAGTTACTTCACTTAGAATAATAGTCTCTAATCTCATTCAGGTCGCTGCAAATGCTATTAATTTATTTGCTTTAAGGCTGAGTAGTATTCCATCATATATGTATTTATCAGGTTATTTATGCACTTGTTGGTTGATGCGCATTTTGGTTGGTTCCACATTTTTGCAATTGTAAATTGTGCTGTTATAAACATATGTCTGCAAGTATCTTTTTTGCATAACAAATAATAATAATCTTTTTTGTATAATAATAAATAATAAATAACTTCCTTTCCTCTGGGAAAGTAGTGGGATTGCTGGATCAGGTGGTAGTTGTACTTTTAGCTCTTTAAGGAATCTCCACACTGTTTTCCATAGTGGTTGTACTAGTTTACATCCCCACCAGCAGTGTAGAAGTCTTCCCTGTTCAGCGCATCTCCATCAACATCTATTAGTTTTTAATTTTTTGATTATGGCCATTCTTGCAGGAGTAAAGTGGTGTTGCCTTGTGGTTTTGATTTGCATTTCCCTGATCATTAGCGATGTTGAGCATTTTTTGATACGTTTGTTGGCCATTTGTATATCTTCTGTTGGGAATTGTCTATTTGTGTCCTTAGCCCACTTTTTGATGGAATTGTTTGTGGTTTCCTTGCTGATTTGTTTGAGTTCATTGCAGATTCTGGATATTAGTCCTTAGTCGGATGTATAGATTGTGAAAATTTTCTCCCACTCTGTGGGTTGTCATTAACGCTGCTGATTATTTCTTTGTCTGTGCAGAAGCTTTTTAGTTTAATTAAGTCCCATCTATTTATCGTTGTTTTTGTTGCATTTGCTTTTGGGTTCTTGGTCATGAAGTCTTTGCCTAAGCCAATGTCTAGAAGGGTTTTTCTGATGTTATCTTCTAGAATCTTTATGGTTTCAGGTCTTAGATGTAAGTCCTTGATCCATCTTGAGTTGATTTTTGTATAAGATGAGAGATGAGGATCTAGTCTCATTCTTCTATATGTGGCTTGTCAATTATCCCAGCACTATTTGTTGGATAAGGTGTCCTTTCCCCACTTTATGTTTTTGTTTGCTTTGTCAAAGATCAGTTGGTTGTAAATATTTGGCTTTATTTCTTGGTTCTTTATTCTGTTCCATTGGCCTATATGCTTATTTTTTATACCAGTACCATGTTGTTTTGGTGACTATGTCCTTACAGTATAGTTTGAAGTTGGGTAAAGTGATGCCTTCAGATTTGTTCTTTTTGCTTAGTCTTGCTTTGGCTATGTGGGCTCTTTTTTGGTCCTATATGAATTTTAGGATTGTTTTTTCTAGTTCTGTGAAGAATGATGGTGGCGTTTTGATGAGAATTGTGTTGAAATTGTGGATTGCTTTTGGCAGTATGGTCATTTTCACAACATTGATTCTACCCATCCATGAGCATGGGATGTGTTTCCATTTGTTTGTGTCATCTATGATTTCTTTCAGCAATGTTTTGTAGTTTTCCTTGTAGAGGTCTTTCATGTCCTTGGTTAGGTATATTCCTAAGTATTTAATTTTTTTGTAGCTATTGTGAAAGGGATTGAGTTCTTGATTTGATTCTCAGCTTGGTCACTGTTGGTGTATAGCAGAGCTAATGATTTGTGTACATTTTGTATCCTGAAACTTTGCTGAATTCATTTACCAGTTCTAGGAGCTTTTTGCATGAGTCTATATGGCTTTCTGGGTATACAATCATACCATCCACAAACAGCAACAGGTTTACTTCTTCTTTACCAATTTGGATGCCCTTTATTTATTTCTCTTGTCTGATTCCTCTGGCTAGGATATCTAGTACTAAGTTGAATAGATGTGGTGAGAGTGAGCATCCTTCTCTTGTGGTAGTTCTCATGGGGAATGCTTTCAACTTTTCCCTATTCAGTATAATGTTGTCTGTGGGTTTGTCATAGATGGCTTTTCTAACCTTAAGGTATGCCCCTTCTATGTAGATTTTCCTGAGGGTATTAATCATAAAGGGATGCTGGATTTTGTCAAATGCTTTTTCTGCATCTCTTGATATGATTATGTGATTTTTGTTTTTAATTCTGTTTATGTGGTATATCACATTTATTGACTTACTTTTTTTTGTCAGTGTAGATTAGTTTGCATTTTCTTTTTTTTTAAATTATTATTATACTTTAAGTTTTAGGGCACATGTGCACAATGTGCAGGTTAGTTACATATGTACACATGTGCCATGCTGGTGTGCTGCACCCATTAACTCGTCATTTAGCATTAGGTATATCTCCTAATGCTATCCCTCCCCCCTCCCCCCACCCCACAACAGTCCCCAGAGTGTGATGTTCCCCTTCCTGTGTCCATGTGTTCTCATTGTTCAATTCCCATCTATGAGTGAGAACATGCAGTGTTTGGTTTTTTGTCCTTGCGATAGTTTACTGAGAATGATGATTTCCAGTTTCATCCATGTCCCTACAAAGGACATGAACTCATCATTTTTTATGGCTGCATAGTATTCCATGGTGTATATGTGCCACATTTTCTTAATCCAGTCTATCATCGTTGGACATTTGGGTTGGTTCCAAGTCTGCTATTGTGAATAGTGCCTCAATAAATATACGTGTGCATGTGTCTTTATAGCAGCATGATTTATAGTCCTTTGGGTATATACCCAGTAATGGGATGGCTGGATCAAATGGTATTTCTAGTTCTAGATCCCTGAGGAATCGCCACACTGACTTCCACAATGGTTGAACTAGTTTACAGTCCCACCAACAGTGTAAAAGTGTTCCTATTTCTCCACATTCTCTCCAGCACCTGTTGTTTCCTGACTTTTTAATGATTGCCATTCTAACTGGTGTGAGATGGTATCTCATTGTGGTTTTGATTTGCATTTCTCTGATGGCCAGTGATGATGAGCATTTTTTCATGTGTTTTTTGGCTGCATAAATGTCTTCTTTTGAGAAGTGTCTGTTCATATCCTTTTCCCACTTTTTGATGGGGTTGTTTGTTTTTTTTCTTGTAAATTTGTTGGAGTTCATTGTAGATTCTGGATATTAGCCCTTTGTCAGATGAGTAGGTTGCGAAAATTTTCTCCCATTTTGTAGGTTGCCTGTTCATGCTGATGGTAGTTTCTTTTGCTGTGCAGAAGCTCTTTAGTTTAATTAGATCCCGTTTGTCAATTTTGGCTTTTGTTGCCATTGCTTTTGCTGTTTTAGACATGAAGTCCTTGCCCATGCTTATGTCCTGAATGGTAATGCCTAGGTTTTCTTCTAGGGTTTTTATGGTTTTAGGTCTAACGTTTAAGTCTTTAATCCATCTTGAATTAATTTTTGTATAAGGTGTAAGGAAGGGATCCAATTTCAGCTTTCTACATATGGCTAGCCAGTTTTCCCAGCACCATTTATTAAATAGGGAATCCTTTCCCCATTGCTTGTTTTTCTCAGGTTTGTCAAAGATCAGATAGTTGTAGATATGCAGCGTTATTTCTGAGGGCTCTGTTCTGTTCCATTGATCTATCTCTCTGTTTTGGTACCAGTACCATGCTGTTTTGGTTACTGTAGCCTTGTAGTATAGTTTGAAGTCAGGTAGTGTGATGCCTCCAGCTTTGTTCTTTTGGCTTAGGATTGACTTGGCGATGTGGGCTCTTTTTTGGTTCCATATGAACTTTAAAGTAGTTTTTTCCAATTCTGTGAAGAAAGTCATTGGTAGCTTGATGGGGATGGCATTGAATCTATAAATTACCTTGGGCAGTATGGCCATTTTCACGATATTGATTCTTCCTACCCATGAGCAAGGAATGTTCTTCAATTTGTTTGTATCCTCTTTTATTTCATTGAGCAGTGGTTTGTAGTTGTCCTTGAAGAGGTCCTTCACGTTCCTTGTAAGTTGGATTCCTAAGTATTTTATTCTCTTTGAAGCAATTGTGAATGGGAGTTCACTCATGATTTGGCTCTCTGTTTTTCTGTTATTGGTGTATAAGAATGCTTGTGATTTTTGTACATTGATTTTGTATCCTGAGACTTTGCTGAAGTTGCTTATGAGCTTAAGGAGATTTTGGGCTGAGACAATGGGGTTTTCTAGATATACAATCATGTCGTCTGCAAACAGGGACAATTTGACTTCCTCTTTTCCTAATTGAATACACTTTATTTCCTTGTCCTGCTTAATTGCCCTGGCCAGAACTTCCAACACTATGTTGAATAGGAGTGGTGAGAGAGGGCATCCCTGTCTTGTGCCAGTTTTCAAAGGGAATGCTTCCAGTTTTTGCCCATTCAGTATGATATTGGCTGTGGCTTTGTCATAGATAGCTCTTATTATTTTGAGATACGTCCCATCAATACCTAATTTATTGAGAGTTTTTAGCATGAAGGTTGTGAATTTTGTCAAAGGCCTTTTCTGCATCTATTGAGATAATCATGTGGTTTTTGTCTTTGGTTCTGTTTATATGCTGGATTACATTGATTGATTTGCATATATTGAACCAGCCTTGCATCCCAGGGATGAAACCCACTTTATCATGGTGGATAAGCTTTTTGATGTGCTGCTGGATTTGGTTTGCCAGTATTTTATTGAGGATTTTTGAATAAATGTTCATCAAGGATATTGGTCTAAAATTCTCTTTTTTGGTTGTGTCTCTGCCCGGCTTTGGTATCAGGATGATGTAGGCCTCATAAAATGAGTTAGAGAGGATTCCCTCTTTTTCTATTGATTGGAATAGTTTCAGAAGGAATAGTACCAGTTCCTCCTTGTACCTCTGGTAGAATTCGGCTGTGAATCCGTCTGGTCCTGGACTCTTTTTGGTTGGTAAGCTATTGATTATTGCCACAATTTCAGATCCTGTTATTGGTCTATTCAGAGATTCAACTTCTTCCTGGTTTAGTCTTGGGAGAGTGTATGTGTCGAGGAATGTATCCATTTCTTCTAGATTTTCTAGTTTATTTGCATAGAGGTGTTTATAGTATTCGCTGATGGTAGTTTGTATTTCTGTGGGATAGGTGGTGATATCCCCTTTATCATTTTTTATTGCGTCTATTTGATTCTTCTCTCTTTTTTTCTTTATTAGTCTCACTAGCGGTCTATCCATTTTGTTGATCCTTTTAAGAAACCAGCTCCTGGATTCATTAATTTTTTGAAGGGTTTTTTTAAAATCTCTATTTCCTTCAGTTCTGCTCTGATTTTAGTTATTTCTTGCCTTCTGCTAGCTTTTGAATGTGTTTGCTCTTGCTTTTCTAGTTCTTTTAATTGTGATGTTAAGGTGTCAATTTTGGATCTTTCCTGCTTTCTCTTGTGGGCATTTAGTGCTATAAATTTCCCTCTACACACTGCTTTGAATGTATCCCAGAGATTCTGGTATGTTGTGTCTTTGTTCTCATTGGTTTCAAAGAACATCTTTATTTCTGCCTTCATTTCGTTATGTACCCAGTAGTCATTCAGGAGCAGGTTGTTCAGTTTCCATGTAGTTGAGCGGTTTTGAGTGAGTTTCTTAATCCTGAGTTCTAGTTTGATTGCACTGTGGTCTGAGAGACAGTTTGTTATAATTTCTGTTCTTTTACATTTGCTGAGGAGAGCTTTACTTCCAACTATGTGGTCAATTTTGGAATAGGTGTGGTGTGGTGCTGAAAAAAATGTATATTCTGTTGATTTGGGGTGGAGAGTTCTGTAGATGTCTATTAGGTCTGGTTGGTGCAGAGCTGAGTTCAATTCCTGGGTATCCTTGTTAACTTTCTGTCTCGTTGATCTGTCTAATGTTGACAGTGGGGTGTTAAAGTCTCCCATTATTATTGTATGGGAGTCTAAGTCTCTTTGTAGGTTACTCAGGACTTGCTTTATGAATCTGGGTGCTCCTGTATTGGGTGCATATATATTTAGGATAGTTAGCTCTTCTTGTTGAATTGATCCCTTTACCATTATGTAATGGCCTTCTTTGTCTCTTTTGATCTTTGTTGGTTTAAAGTCTGTTTTATCAGAGACTAGGATTGCAACCCCTGCCTTTCTTTGTTTTCCATTTGCTTGGTAGGTCTTCCTCCATCCTTTTATTTTGAGCCTATGTGTGTCTCTGCACATGAGATGGGTTTCCTGAATACAGCACACTGATGGGTCTTGACTCGTTATCCAATGTGCCAGTCTGTGTCTTTTAATTGGAGCATTTAGTCCATTTATATTTAAAGTTAATATTGTTATGTGTGAATTTGATCCTGTCATTATGCTGTTAGCTGATTATTTTGCTTGTTAGTTGATGCAGTTTCTTCCTAATCTCGATGGTCTTTACATTTTCGCATGATTTTGCAGTGGCTGGTACCGTTTGTGCCTTTCCTTGTTTAGTGCTTCCTTCAGGAGCTCTTTTAGGACAGGCCTGGTGGTGACAAAATCTCTCAGCATTTGCTTGTCTGTAAAGTATTTTATTTCTCCTTCACTTATGAAGCTTAGTTTGGCTGGATATGAAATTCTGGGTTGAAAATTCTTTTTTTTAAGAAGTTGTATATTGGCCCCCACTCTCTTCTGGCTTGTAGAGTTTCTGCCGAGAGATCTGCTGTTAGTCTGATGGGCTTCCCTTTGTGGGTAACCCGACCTTTCTCTCTGGCTGCCCTTAACATTTTTTCCTGCATTACAACTTTGGTGAATCTGACAATTATGTGTCTTGGAGTTGCTCTTCTCGAGGAGTATCTTTGTGGCATTCTCTGTATTTCCTGAATCTGAATGTTGGCCTGCTTTGCTAGATTGGGGAAGTTCTCCTGGATAATAACCTGCATAGTGTTTTCCAACTTGGTTCCATTCTCCCCGTCACTTTCAGGTACACTAATCAGACGTAGATTTGGTCTTTTCACATAGTCCCATATTTCTTGGAGGCTTTGTTCATTTCTTTTTATTCTTTTTTCTCTAAACTTCCTTTCTCACTTCATTTCATTCATTTCATCTTCCATCACTGATATCCTTTCTCCCAGTTGATCGCATCGGCTCCTGAGGCTTCTGCATTCTTCACGTAGTTCTCAAGCCTTGGCTTTCAGCTCCATCAGCTCCTTTAAGGACTTCTCTGTATTGGTTATTCTAGTTATACATTTGTCTAAATTTTTTTCAAAGTTTTCAACTTCTTTGCCTTTGGTTTGAATTTCCTCCTGTAGCTCGGAGTAATTTGATTGTCTGAAGCCTTCTTCTCTCAACTCGTCAAAGTCATTCTCCGTCCAGCTTTGTTCCATTGCTGGTGAGGAACTGCGTTCCTTTGGAGGAGGAGAGGTGCTCTGCTTTTTAGAGTTTCCAGTTTTTCTGCTCTGTTTTTTCCCCATCTTTGTGGTTTTATCTACTTTTGGTCTTTGATGATGGTGATGTACAGATGGGTTTTTGGTGTGGATTTCCTTTCTGTTTGTTAGTTTTCCTTCTAACAGACAGGACCCTCAGCTGCAGGTCTGTTGGAGTTTGCTAGAGGTCCACTCCAGACCCTGTTTGCCTGGGTATCAGCAGCGGTGTCTGCAGAACCGCGGATTTTCGTGATCCGTGAATGCTGCTGTCTGATCGTTCCTCGGGAAGTTTTGTCTCAGAGGAGTACCCGGCCGTGTGAGGTGTCAGTCTGCCCCCACTGAGGGGTGCCTCCCAGTTAGGCTGCTCAAGGGTCAGGGGTCAGGGACCCACTTGAGGAGGCAGTCTGCCCGTTCTCAGATCTCCAGCTGTGTGCTGGGAGAACCACTGCTCTCCTCAAAGCTGTCAGACAGGGACATTTAAGCCTGCAGAGGTTACTGCTGTCTTTTTGTTTGTCTGTGCCCTGCCCCCAGAGGTGGAGCCTACAGAGGCAGGCAGGCCTCCTTGAGCTGTGGTGGGCTCCACACAGTTCGAGCTTCCGGCTGCTTTCTTTATCTAAGCAAGCCTGGGCAATGGTGGGCGCCCCTCCCCCAGCCTTGCTGCCACCTTGCAGTTTGATCTCAGACTGCTGTGCTAGCAATCAGTGAGACTCTGTGGGCGTAGGACCCTCTGAGCCAGGTGCGGGATATAATCTCCTGGTGCACCATTTCCTAAGCCTGTCAGAAAAGCGCAGTATTCGGGTGGGAGTGGCCCGATTTTCCAGGTGCCGTCTGTCATCCCTTTCCTTGACCAGGAAAGGGAACTCCCTGATCCCTTGTGCTTCCCGAGTGAGGCAATGCCTCGCCCTGCTTCGGCTCACGCATGGTGCGCTGCACCCACTGTCCTGCGCCCACTGTCTGGCACTCCCTAGTGAGATGAACCCGGTACCTCAGATGGAAATGCAGAAATCACCCGTCTTCTGTGTCGCTCACGCTGGGAGCTGTAGACCGGAGCTGTTCCTATTCGGCCATCTTGGCTCGGTAGTCGACTTACATATGTTAAACCATCCCTGCATCCATGGTATGGAACCCACTTGATCATGATGGATTATCTTTTTGATTTGCTGTTGGATTTGCTTAGCTAGTATTTTGTTGAGGATTTTTGCATTTATATTCATCAGGGATATTGGTCTGTAGTTTTCTTTTTCGGTTACATCCTTTACTGGTTTTGGTATTAGGGTGATACTGGATTCATAGAATGATTTAGGGAGGATTCCGTCTTTCTCTACTTTTTGTAATAGTGTCAATAAGATTGGTACCAATTATTTATTTATTTATTTGAGAGGGCGTCTTGCTCTGTCACCCAGGCTGGAGTGCAGTGGCGTGATCTTGGCTCACTGCAACCTCCACCCCCTGGGTTCAAGCAATTCTCTTGCCTCAGCCTCCCTAGTAGCTGGAATTACAGGTGTGCGCTATCATGCCTGGCTAATTTTTGTACTTTTAGTAGAGATGGGGTTTCACCATGTTGGCCAGGCTGGTCTTGAACTCCTGGCCTCAAGTGATCCGCCCACCTCGGCCTCCCAAAGTGCTGGGATTACAGGCATGAGCCACTGTGCCTACCTCTTCTTTTAATGTCTGATAGCATTTAGCTGTGAGTTTGTCTGGTCCTGGACTTCTTTTTATTGGCAACTTTTTAAAAAATTTACCATTTCAATCTCTCTGCTTGTTATTGGTCTGTTCAAATATTTTCTTTCTTTCTGGTTTAATCTAGGAGGGTTGTATATTTCCAGGAATTTATTTATCTCCTCTAGGTTTTCTAGTTTATGCATGTAAAGATGTTCATAGTAGCCTTGAATGGTCTTTTGTATTTCTGTGGTGTCGGTTGTGATATCTCCTGTTTTGTTCTAATTGAGCTGATTTAGATCCCCTCTTTTCTTTTTTTGGTTAGTCTCACTGGTGGTCTATCAATTTCATTTATCTTTTCAAAGAACCAGCTTTTCGTTTCACCTATCTTGCTACCAAATTGGCATATAAGTAAACAAGTACTCACAAATTAAGTCTAAATGGTTTTCAAGTTCATGTGAATCTTTGACAAATAAAACTGGCTTCAAAAATTATTAGTAAAATAATAAAAATGTCTTTAGAGTCATCAGCATACATTTCTGTCTAAATAAATTTTATATTGACCTCTGTGGTTATTAGGGAAATAACTTTAAATAATGACTAACTTTATATAATACCTTG
The DNA here is from genome assembly GCF_000001405.40 of Homo sapiens. Classification (NCBI taxonomy): domain Eukaryota; kingdom Metazoa; phylum Chordata; class Mammalia; order Primates; family Hominidae; genus Homo; species Homo sapiens. The sequence continues at coordinate 248,760,437 of NC_000001.11, read as the reverse complement.
GTTTTCAAGAGTAATCTAAATTGTTAAAAAATAAATTAATTAAATACATATACATGAGATAAATACCTATAAGTGGACTTTTTGTGTAATGTAAAATCTTAACATTATTTTAAATTAAATAACAAATGCTTATTGAATGTCTGGGTCATTTCCAATGTAAATAATTATTATATGAGAAAACATGGTTCTGAAATAGTGAAATAATTTTATCTATAAAATGCTAACATCTGACATACAGTTCAGATTTCTTGCTTCCCATTTTCACTAAAATTTAAGATTACTAGAAATAAAAATTCTAATTAATATATAATTCTGTAAATTGCATTTTATAAAAAATAATTTTGTGTAATTTGGAAGCCATTTTAAAATCATTTACTTGAAAAGGCAAAAAGAAACCAGAAGTGGGGAAGAGAGATGTGAAGAAAGTTATGGTATAAAGTTGCACCCGTAACTTTCACATATATATATATATATACTCGTAAATTAAGTCTAATAATACTGCTATGATTATTCATGTACAAGTTTTTGTATAAACAGTTGTTTTCATTCAATTATATTGGGTATATACCTAGGTGTGGAATTGCTGTGTCATGGGTAACTCTCTTAGAGGAACTGCCAAACTCTTTCCACAGTGGCTGCACCATTTTACATTCCTACCAGTAGTGTATGAAGGTTCCAATTTCTCCATATCCTTCCTAATGCTCGCAATTTTCCTTGCTTCCTTCTCTTTCTTTCTTTCTTTCTTTCTCTGTCTCTTTTTCTTTCTTTCTTTTTGATTTTATTTGTGTTAGTGGGCATGAAGTAGTATCTAATTGTGGTAGAAGTGTGTTCTGAGGCTGGACCTCACCTCAGACCATTGCCCTGTGCAGATGCGAATGTCCCTCTGGGCTGTGCAGTTGCCGATATGAGCTCAGAGAACAATGATAGCAGTAGTAGCCATTGTTTTTAGAGCCCTTTATGAAGTGATAGTTTCATCATCATTGTCGGCTTGTGCGACCTCCTTTGACCCTCAGAATAGCTACTCAGGCCGTAGTGCTGTTTTTGCCACTTGAAAGATGGGAAACCCAAGACTCGGGGGGATCATCATCTTACATAAGGCCATGGACTATTGGGGAAGTTTATCTTCCAGGATATGCTCATTTCCTCTGCAAGGTGACTGGGGGGCAGGAATGTTGGGGGCAATAATTCATTATTTTTAGCCTATTCTCACATCTCCAAGCGGGAGGAATGAGCTAGTCAATGAAAGGCTCCCAGAAGCAAACACAGAGAGAAGGCGGGTCAGGGGTGGATGCTCTTGATCCTTTTGCTGAGTCTTTGGCTTAGACTCCTGTTGGATATAATTCCTGCCCCAGCTTCCCTGACCTGACCCTACACACCTCCACATGCTTATTCCAAAATGGGGTAGGCTCCCCTGGAAACTCACCTCCAAGCTTTGCTGGTCATCAAGGGAAGCTTTGGGAAAAGGCCGTTTCCTAAAGTGGTTCCAGATTTACCACCGGATGACTCACTGGGACTCAGCTGAGCTCCAGGTTTGCCTCAGCTCAGCAGGCTGTAGGGACAGCCAACCTTGTCCCCTTCTAAGAAGATGATGGAACTAGGGTGCCTACGGTGTGCCCAGGGCTTCTTAGTTTAAAAGTTGGGCTGCTTGTTGCGACTTAGCTTCTCCTGGGTCTCTGGACTTCTTTGCTAGTCAGGAGGAGTCGGCTTTAGAGAGGTGCTTTTTCATAATTCCCTGTGACTGATTCAGGTCCTTGGACCCCACATTAATGACAGAGAGGTGAACCTCTGGGAGAGGGAGGAGTGGAGTCAAGTCGATGTCTCCAATCCTGCGGGTGGAGGCTGCGTCCCACCTGAGCCATGTTGAAATGGAAAGATTGCTGGCCCAGGCGTCTGAAGGCCTATAGGGAAGGCCTCCCTGGGCCTGTTTCCTTATCTGTCAAGGCAGCTGGGGGTACCCTTGGCGCACTGCCGGGGCTTCAAAAGGATGAACCCAGGACTGCTGTGAGCAGCCGTATAGACTGCGCAGCCTAGTTCAGGGGGCTTCCATTGTCTTCAGTGTCCTTACTGATAAATGGCTCAGTTAAAATCATACGTGCTATTAATAATAATTCCCACATGGTTAGACGTCCTCAGGACATTATTGATAGATAGATGGCCTTGGAAAAACACAGAGGAATGGGGTGATGATTCCAGGAGTAAATAAATCATCAGGAGGCATTTCTTCAGGGCCTGATGATTCCATTTTAAAGACAAAGAGCTCTGGCCCAACAAGTGCGGTTAATAAGTAACTTATGTGATGTGAGGGACAAAGTCTGGATTCAGACTCAGATCTTTGTGGTCGCTTTGGGTCCATTTGCCTGAGTATCTGGTGCCTTCTGAGAGGAATTAACATTGATCAGCCCGATTTTCTCATGCCAGTACTCAGCCTGACACCAGAGCTGTTATCTCAGAGGCAGTGTTCATGAGCTCTTTGGATCCTCCATCGGTGGCTCAGGGAGGCCACATTCCTGAAACCCGCAAGCCCACACACACCCCATTGGATATTACTGTGCCACTTCTCTTGTTGTGCCCTGCCAGGTGACTGACTAATGTGTGCTGGGAAACAATATGGTTCTGTTAGGGAGGAAGCTGCTTTTTTTTTTTTTTAGGAAAATGCTGTGATAAGCAGCCTGAAGGCAGATGGTGAGGAGAGGAGAGAATAAGAGATGGCCAGAGTCTCTGCTTATAAAAATAACTCAGATTTTGTCTTCTCCATGAGACCTACTACAACCTCCTCATTGAAAGTGGAAGCCTGCACCTGCTCACCCCCTAGCATGGTTGATGACTTATCCTACTCTTTGTCTTTTTGCCAGAGCAGTCACCACATTCTGACTTTCCCTGTGATTTGCTTATTTACCACTTTAATTTATGTTGTCTGTAGTCCTCTCTAGACTACACTCCAGGAGGGCAAAGGTCTTTGTCTTTTTGCTCACAAATACCTCCCGGTTTCCTACAGTAGGCCTAAGACAGGGAGGGTGCTCAAAAAATGTTTGTTGAATGAATGCATGAGTTTGGGGAAGGAAGAGAGAGCTGAGACACAGGTAGCGTAGCCATCCCCAAGGGGTATTTTCAAGAGCAGGGAACTGCAAGGTTTAAATGCAGGCTGGGGGATACTGGTATGATGTGTGCCCCTCAACCTCTGCATCCTCGGCTGAGTGGGCTCCTCCCACTCCCCACCGTGTGTGTATAAAGTGTCAGCACAGTGGAAAGATGAGGAGGGAAGATAACTCAAGTCCACACTCAAAACCAGGAGCACCCATGGCACAGTGTGAGGAGACTGGGAGAGTGTGAGGGTTAATATTGAGTGTCAACATGATTGGATTGAAAAGTATTGCAAAGTATTGTTCCTGGATGTGTCTGTGAGGGTGTTGCCAAAGGAGATTAACACTCGAGTCCGTGGACTGGCAGAGGCAGAGCCACCCTCAGTCTGGGTGGGCACCATCTGATCAGCTGCCAGCTCTGCTAGAATATAAAGCAGGCAGAAAAATGTCAAAAGGCTAGACTGGCCTAGCCTCCCAGCCTACATCTGGGTGGACATCATCTAATCAACTGCCAACACAGCTAGGATAAAAGCAGGCAGCAGAACGAGGAAGGACCAGACTGGCTGAGTCTCCCAGTCTCCATCTTTCTCCCATGCTGGATGCTTCCTTCCCTCAAACATCGGACTCCAAGTTCTTCGGCTTTGGGACTCTTGGGCCTACACCAGTGGTTTGCCAGGGGCTCTCAGGCCATCAGCCACAGACTGAAGGCTGCACTTTTGAGGTTTTGGGACTCAGACTGGCTTCCTTGGTCTTCAGGTCACAGACAGCCTATTGTGGGACTTCACCCTGTGATCATGTGAGTCAATACTCCTTAATGAACTCCCCTTCATACATATATAAACTCACCTTCTCTAGAGGACAGAGAACCTGACTAATACAGAGAGGCCTCAGTTGACCTGACCTGGGCTGTTACCAGTAGCTGCTCAGATCACTTGGCCAGAAAGACTCTCTCGATGGCTGCTGTGGGCTCTCACCCAGTGTGCAGAGCACACTGCAGGCAGGGGCTTCACGTCATGGTCCCTCTACCACACTATGAGGCTGCACAGTGAGTTTACACTCATCTTGGTTGGAGGACCCTCAAATCTAACAAGGTTAAGACACTTGCCTGTGGGAAACTGAGGCCCTTTCCTGAGTTGCACAGACCCCACATAGTCTGATTCGGAGCTCTGAGTTCTGACTGTGCCCCGGCTGTGTGCCCATGAGCATATCTCTTATGGCTCTCTTTCTGTGCTTTGGTTTTCTCATCTATAAATGGGCTAATCATGGTGACTGTTAGCAGGTTGTTAGGTGCTTGTCATTAGCAGGTCATGGAATTGACTTAGAAGGCCACAGACAATGCTGGAAGATACCTTACTCCTGTTTACATTTTGCCAAAGGCAGGCCTTGACCAAAGTTGTTCCCAATTCCTAGAGGTCTCAGAGAGGGCACGAGCTGCACAGATGCCAAAGGGTTGGGCAGCCTGTAGCTCTATTGGGCAGGGCACAGTCTGAGAGCCAGAAGCCTTAGCCTGTCTGACCCAGAGGTCCCACCCCAGAAGACAGCTGTGCTTTTTGATTTTACAGCCACCTGCTATATAAGGCCTCTCCCATACCAGCCCTAAGCCTCTACTGGGAACCACCTTCTGTAGGACAGTCACCAGGCCAGATCCAGAAGGTGAGAGGACTGCGAGGCCGGGGCCTGAGCCCTGGGAGAAGCTGAAACCGCAGGAAGGGCATTCAGGACCAGCTCAGGTCCTTCCCCGGCCAAGTCCAGGACATTCTTGCGGCTCTTGCTCCTTTGGCATTGCCCTAGGCAGTCGTATGCTCAGGAGAGGGAAGTCTGGAGTTCAGGGAGGATGTGGGCTGGGGATGTAGTTTTCTTGTTGTTTTGCCATCTGCTACTGTGTGTGTGGTTTGTGTGTAGTGTGTGCGTGTTCTGTGCATCATTCTGTGTGTGACATTCTTCATTCTGTGTGGTTTTGTGTCCTCACAGCCTCTCTAGGCTCCAGCTTTCTCTGTGGAAGATGACAGCAATTATAGCAGGACCCTGCCAGGCTGTCGAAAAGATTCCGCAATAAAACTTTGCCAGTGGGAAGTACCTAGTGAAACGGCCTAAGATGCCACTTCTTCTCATGTCCCAGGTGGGGGCCCTGCCTTGAGCCCCAGCTTCACTGGTCCCTCTTACCCACAGAGGTGTTGAGCACGGCCCTGGGTCCTGCTATGGGGTCACTCCCAGGCTCTGTTTCTCTGCTAGGTGYCCCTGGGTCAAGTCCTGACCTCTCTGGGCCTCCATCAATTCTCCCTGAAAATGAGGCTAGTTTCAGGTCTTCACCATAGGCTGAGGTGATCTGTGCACTTGATGGGCTGCTGGGGTCTCCTTCTCATCTCATCTCATCCTCTCCTTTCCCCTCCTCCATCACACTGTAAGACCTGAGAGGCCCTTTCCCAGAAGGCCATGGCCCTGAAACTCTTTTCCCACTGAGGAGAAAAGCAAGCAGCTGGGGTTCCAGGCCTGGAGGGGTGCACCCGGGCATGTAGGGGTGCACCGGGCCTGGAGGGGTGAGGGGCTGGCGCACGTCTGCTACAAGCTCCAGACCAGATGTGCTTTATTTTCCTCCTTGGATCTCTAAATGGTGGGGTCATTGGCATCATGTATGGGCCTCTTCTCCCAGACCGACTGGTTTCCCTTCCTTTTTACCAATCTCTAATAAGTCAACCAGGGTATCAGGGTAGGGTGTGTGGTGTTTGTGTGTGGTTTGTGTATTGTGTATATGGTTTGTGTGCATGTAATGTTTGTGGCATGTGGTATAAATGGCATGTGGGGTGTGTGTGTGTGAGGGTGTGTGATGTGTATGTGTCTCTGTGTGTGGAGGCATATGGTGCATGTGTGGTGTGTGTGATGTGTGTGTGATATGGTGTGTGTGGGGTTTGTTTGACGTGTGTGAGGTGTGTGGTGTATTGTGTGTGTGTTTGATGTGTGTGACAGGTGATGTGTGGCATGTGATGTGTCGTGTGTGTGGTATGTGGTGTGGTGCGTATGTGGTGTCTGTGATGTGATTTGCATGTGTGTAGTATGTGTGATGTATTTAGCGCATGGTGTGTTGTGTGTGTGATGTGTGTGACTTATGTGTGGGGTGTGTGTTTAATGTGTGTGGTGTGTTGTATGTGGCATTTAATGTGTGTTGTGTGTGTTCGGTGTGTACCTAATGTGTGTGACATGTGATGTGTGGTGTGTGTGAAGTGTGTGTGGTGTGGTGTATGTGTGGTGTGTGGTGTGGTATTTGTGTATGTGGTGTATGTGTGTGGTGTGGGGTGTGCTGTGTGGTGTTTGTGACATGTGATGTGTGGTGTGTGGTGTGTGATGTAGTGTATGTGCAGTGTGTATGTGATGTGTGGAGTGTGTGGTGTGTGTCATGTGATGTGTGTGACATGTGATGTTATGTGTTGTGTGTGTTGTGTGTATGTAGTATGTATGACATGTGATGTGTGGTGTGTGTGTGATGCATGGGGTGTGTGGTGTATGTGTCATGTGATGTGTGTGTGACATGTGATGTTATGTGGTGTGTGTGGTGTATGTGCTGTGTATGACATGTGATGTGTGGTGTGTGTGTGATGTGGTGTGTATGTGTTGTGTGGGGGCTGTGGTGTGTGTGGTGTGATGCGTGTGTGTGTGGGGTGTGTGGTGTGTGTGTGATGTGGTGTGTGTGTTGCGTGGGGTGTGTGGTGTGTGATGTATATGTGTGGTGTGTTGTGTGTGTTGTGTGGGGTGTGTGGTGTGTGTGTTGTGTTGTGTGTGTTGTGTGGGGTGTGTGTTGTGTGTGTGATGTGTTTTGTGTGATGTGGTGTGTTGTGTGGGGTGTGTGATGTGTGTGTTGTGTTGTGTGTTGTGTGATGTGTGTGTGATGTGGTGTGTTGTGTGGGGTGTGTGTTGTGTGTGTTGTGTTGTGTGTGTTGTGTGTGGTGTGTGGTGTGTGTGTGATGTGTATGTGTTGTGTGTGGTGTGTGGTGTGTATGTGATGTGTGTGTTGTGTGGTGTGTGTGGTGTGTGTGATGTGTTGTGTGTTGTGTGGGGTGTGTGGTGTGTGTGGTGTGTGTGTGTTGTGTGGTGTGTGTGTGATGCGGTGTGTGTTGTGTGGGGTGTGTGGTGTGTGTGTGTGGTGTGGTGTGTGTGTTGTGTGGGGTGTGATGTGGTGTGTGTGTGTGATGTGGTGTGTGTGGTGTGTGGGGTGTTTGTGTGTGGGGTGTGTGTGTTGTGTTGTGTGTGTTGTGTGTGGTGTGTGGTGTGTGTGTAGTGTGGTGTGGGGTGTGTGGGGTGTGTGGGGTGTGTGTGTGATGTGTGTGTGGTGTGTGGGGTGTGTGGTGTGTGTATGATGTGGTGTGTTTGTGTGTGTGTTGTGTTGTGTGTGTGTTGTGTGGGGTGTTTGGTGTGTGTGTGATGTGGTGTGTGTGTGATGTGGTGTGTTGGTGTGTGGGGTGTGTGTGATGTGTGTATGTGTTGTGTGGGGTGTGTGGTGTGTGTGTGGTGTGGTGTGTGTGTGTGGGGTGTGGTGTGTGTGATGTGATGTGTGTGTGTTGTGGGGTGTGGTGTGTGTGTGGTGTGTGTTGTGTGGGGTGTGTGGTGTGTGTGGGGTGTGTGGTGTGTGTGATGTGTGTGTGTTCAGTGGGGAGTGTGGTGTGTGTGTGTTGTGGGGTGTGGTGTGTGTGTGGTGTGGTGTGTGTGGTGTGTGTTGTGTGTTGTGTGGGGTGTGTGGTGTGTGTGTGTGATGTGTGTGGGGTGTGTGGGGTGTGTGGTGTGTGTGTGATGTGTGTGTTCATGATGTGGTGTGTTTGTGTTTGTGTGGTGTGGTGTGTGTGTGTTGTGTGGGKTGTTTGGTGTGTGTGGGGGGTGATGTGCATGTGTGTGGTGAGGTGGGAGTAGGGGCTTCCAGATGAAGGCGATTGTGTTTCAGTAAGTAGCAGCTATTGTGGTGCAACTAGGCTTTGGAGCTGGAAGGACCTGGAATAGAGCACTGGCTTTGGCCTTAGGAGCCGAGCGAGCTTGGGTTACTTCGTCGTCCCTCTGTGCTGCAGGTTTCTCACCTGTAGAGTGGGGCTAATAGCCTCTGCCGTACAGTACTGTCCACTGGGACTCTCCGCAATGATGGAAGTGTTCTGTGCCTGCGTTGGCCAATACAGCAGCCAACAGCCACATGTGGCTCCTGAGCATTGGGAATGTAGCCAGTGCTACTGAGAAACAGAATGTTTCATTTTATCTACCCTCGAAGAATCATAAATAACTATGTGTGCCTCACAGCGACCGTGTATAGGGTAAATGAGATAATGATTAAGAAGGGCTCAGGCCAGAGCCACACACCTGCTCTCTCCTGCTTTGATACACAAGCAAGTTGGAATTCTGGAAGTTCTAATTTCGAATTCTAATGAATATAACCAAACCTTAGCAATCCTCAAAGGCCTAACTCAGAGAATCTGCAGGCAGGGAATGCAAGGTGCAGAGACATTGGTGACACGCTATTTGGAAGTGCATGGGGGACTCTGATTTAGTGCTGCAGGTTGAGTGTGTCCAGGCTGAGGACTGTGGGAATAGTGGAAGGGAGTGTGGGCTGGCGGTTGGGGACACAGACGAAACTCCAGTTCTGATACCTCCCAGAAGTAAGACCTTGACTTTGAGTGCATTACCCAATCCTGCTAAGGCTTGATTTTTCTTAGGATGCTAATAATAATACCTGCCTGCTACAGTAGATGAATTACATAAATTAATACCTGTAAAGTGTTTGGAATGGAGTAAGTGCTCAATAGCTGTCTGCCTATTGCGGTGGTGGTGGCAGCAACAGAACCCTTAAGTGTAAAATATGGATGCAGTGAGAGACTGGCTGAAGGAGGGACATTGTGCTCTGGGGGAGGGGAGGGGCACAGACCCCAGCCCAGCTCTTTCTTCTTGGACCCCATCCCAAAAGTGAAACTAAAAATTAATCTGCCTGCACATTTTGCAACTGAATTGGCTCCACGGGAAATGGCCCCTGGCTGTGTTTCATATCTGCGTGTAGATGCTCCTGCAGGCTGAGATTAAGAAAACTTGGCCCTCCGTTTGCAGCAGGGTGGAATCAGCTTTGTGCTCCCAGCTCAGGATTTTGATTCTTTCTGTCACAAGGATGGACTGAGTACTGGGCTTCTTACAGTGCGATTAAAAGCCCCAGGGGATGAGAGGCAGCCCTCCAAGGCCCCGGGGCTGCCTTCTTTGTGTCTTTTCAGGCTTGAGGCCCTGTGGTCCCCATCCTTGGGAGAAGTCAGCTCCAGCACCATGAAGGGCATCCTCGTTGCTGGTATCACTGCAGTGCTTGTTGCAGCTGTAGGTAAGAGAACTCACGTGGCCCCTTTTTAGAATGGAGACCCCCTTTTCCACCTCACCAGTGTCTTCTTGCTCTCAAATCCCCGAGGGCCTCACATGTCAAATTATGGTCAGGGATGACCATGAGACCTGTCCGTGCAGCCTGCTTTGAAGGGGCCACTCTGTATTGTTGTTGAAGGTTGGATCTTTCTACTGGGGAATAGTGAGCAGTGGGAGAAACTAATTAGGGTGGCTCATCTTACAGCATCAATTTCAGGTATCCCCAGAGGGCAGGGATGCCATCCCGTCTGTCTTTTACTGCAAGGTGGGAGCAGTGCTTTTCCTAGAGTAGAGTATGCTCTATAAATGTCTACTGAATGTTGACTGGTGTTGGATGTCTTGTCTCCTCAGAATCTCTGAGCTGCGTGCAGTGTAATTCATGGGAAAAATCCTGTGTCAACAGCATTGCCTCTGAATGTCCCTCACATGCCAACACCAGCTGTATCAGCTCCTCAGCCAGCTCCTCTCTAGGTGAGCCTGGGTGTGTGTGTCCTTCCTGCCTCTGGGGCTTGCACCGGGAGGGAGCTGGAGAGGACATCCAGGCAGGAAAGAAAGGCAGAGAAGGGGTCGTGCTGTCCAAGGAGAGAGGAAGCCACAAAGGTGACTCCCAGGAGAAACAACGCTTGGCTGAGGCAAGCAGGAGCCAGACAAGATCACAGGGTCAAAGCCACAGGAGCCCCTCGTGGTGTTTGGGACTGATGCCCGTGACCTCAAAGCTTCATTCGAGACGCATGTCAGTGGATGTGAGAAGCAAGGACAGCTCTTAGTTAAATTACCAGGAGGATTTGCTCTGGATGCTTTCATTTCTCTCTCTCATGGTTCCTCCTCTTCTGGATCAAACACACTTTCCTTCATTCAAGACCTCCCCACAGGGCGTTTTGAGTAACTACTATTGTAACCTCTTTCTCAGAGCACTTAGATTTCTTCTTCACTTTTTTGTAATAGACACGTTCAAACATACTTCATGTATGTTTAAAGTAGGAAAAAGAGTATAATGAACTGCCATGTAACCACTACCCTGTGTCAGCAGTTATTAACATTTTGCTATTTTTTTGCTATAGTTTTTTTTTTTACTACAGTATTTTTGGCTATGGTATTTTAAATTAAACATTATATAAATATACATGTACACACATATATGTGTATGTGTGTACATGTCATCGGTCATTTTCTCCATAAATACTTCACTATTTATCTCTGATCATAATTGTTTTTTACATAACTATCATATTGCTATGGTTTGAATATTCCCTCCAAAACTAATGTTGAAACTTAATTGCCACCGTGATGGTATTAAGAGGTGGGACCATTCAGAAGTGATTAGGCTGTGAGGACTCCGCCCTTGTGAATGCATTGATGTCATGAATGTGGAGGTGGGTTCCTGATAAAAAGGAGTCTGGGCCCCTCTTTCCCTCACTTGCTCTCACCCTCTCTTGCCCTTCTGCCGTGGGATGATGCAGAAGAAAGTCTTCACCAGAGGCTGGCACTTTGATGTTGTACTTTGCAGACTCTAGTACTGTAAATAATAAATTTATTCTCTTTATAGGTTATCCAATCCATGGTATTCTGGTATAGCAACACAAAATGAACTAAGACACATACTGTTATCATACCTGAGAAAATTAACTGTAATTCTTTAATTTCTTCTAATATCCAGGCCATCTTAAACATTTCTTAATTGTTTCAAAGATGTCATGATGTGGTCTATGTGCGAAATTAGGATCCCAGCCAAATCCCCCATTTTGCTGTTAGGTCTGTTAAGCCTAACTTGTTTTATAACAGCTTCCATCATTTTTTGTTCAATCCTATTGGTTTGTTAGAGAAATGGGTCATTTGTCCTGTAGCTGTCCCATATTCTAGCTGTGGTTGATTGCTTCCTGCTGGTTTCATATAACTTGCTCTCCTGTTCTCAGTGTTTCTTGTATAGGTAATCAGGGCTGACTAGCAGTGCCTTCTTCAATGATGAAAGTATCTGTATTAACACTGTGCCATACTGTAGTCACATATGGCTACTGAGCACTTGATATATGGCTACTATGGCTGAGGAGCTTAATTTTAAATTTGATTTTATTTTAATTAATAAAATTTAAATTTAAATAGGCACAAATAGCTAGTGGCTACCATATTAGATAGCTCTGGCTAGAAGCTTGACTGGATTCAGGTTCAATTTTTAGGCAGGAACTGTGGATGTCATATTGCACATAAGGCTCGTCATGTCTGTTTGATCATTTTTACAGCTCTTAAGACTTATTGAAGGCTTCAGGGACTGTCCACTTGGACCAACCATTTTCAGGCTCCCAATCAGACTTTTGCCTGGAGTTTAACCTGCACCTCTGATAGCCTCCTGCTCAAAGGAGGGGTTACCCGATGGGAAGAATTATTATTATTTTTTCCGGAAAACCCTCTCCAGTGTCTTCAAAACTGCATGATACTGAGGTTGCATTTTCTGCCTTTGCCTGAAACAGTTGCTATTCTGGGTCTCCACCCTCCCCACACCTCCTCCTTACCAGGGGCTGACAGTCTGTGTTTGTCTTTGTGTAGAGACACCAGTCAGATTATACCAGAATATGTTCTGCTCAGCGGAGAACTGCAGTGAGGAGACACACATTACAGCCTTCACTGTCCACGTGTCTGCTGAAGAACACTTTCATTTTGTAAGCCAGTGCTGCCAAGGAAAGGAATGCAGCAACACCAGCGATGCCCTGGGTGGGTGCTGGCCGTGCGGGCGATGCCCTGGGTGGGTGCTGGCCGTGCGGGGGATGCCCTGGGTGGGTGCTGGCCGTGCGGGGGATGCCCTGGGTGGGTGCTGGCCGTGCGGGCGATGCCCTGGGTGGGTGCTGGCCGTGCGGGCGATGCCCTGGGTGGGTGCTGGCCGTGCGGGGGATGCCCTGGGTGGGTGCTGGCCGTGCGGGGGATGCCCTGGGTGGGTGCTGGCCGTGCGGGCGATGCCCTGGGTGGGTGCTGGCCGTGCGGGGGATGCCCTGGGTGGGTGCTGGCCGTGCGGGGGATGCCCTGGGTGGGTGCTGGCCGTGCGGGGGATGCCCTGGGTGGGTGCTGGCCGTGCGGGGGATGCCCTGGGTGGGTGCTGGCCGTGCGGGGGATGCCCTGGGTGGGTGCTGGCCGTGCGGGGGATGCCCTGGGTGGGTGCTGGCCGTGCGGGGGATGCCCTGGGTGGGTGCTGGCCGTGCGGGCGATGCCCTGGGTGGGTGCTGGCCGTGCGGGCGATGCCCTGGGTGGGTGCTGGCCGTGCGGGCGATGCCCTGGGTGGGTGCTGGCCGTGCGGGGGATGCCCTGGGTGGGTGCTGGCCGTGCGGGGGATGCCCTGGGTGGGTGCTGGCCGTGCGGGCGATGCCCTGGGTGGGTGCTGGCCGTGCGGGGGATGCCCTGGGTGGGTGCTGGCCGTGCGGGCGATGCCCTGGGTGGGTGCTGGCCGTGCGGGGGATGCCCTGGGTGGGTGCTGGCCGTGCGGGCGATGCCCTGGGTGGGTGCTGGCCGTGCGGGGGATGCCCTGGGTGGGTGCTGGCCGTGCGGGCGATGCCCTGGGTGGGTGCTGGCCGTGCGGGCGATGCCCTGGGTGGGTGCTGGCCGTGCGGGCGATGCCCTGGGTGGGTGCTGGCCGTGCGGGGGATGCCCTGGGTGGGTGCTGGCCGTGCGGGCGATGCCCTGGGTGGGTGCTGGCCGTGCGGGGGATGCCCTGGGTGGGTGCTGGCCGTGCGGGGGATGCCCTGGGTGGGTGCTGGCCGTGCGGGCGATGCCCTGGGTGGGTGCTGGCCGTGCGGGGGATGCCCTGGGTGGGTGCTGGCCGTGCGGGGGATGCCCTGGGTGGGTGCTGGCCGTGCAGGCGATGCCCTGGGTGGGTGCTGGCCGTGCGGGCGATGCCCTGGGTGGGTGCTGGCCGTGCGGGCGATGCCCTGGGTGGGTGCTGGCCGTGCGGGGGATGCCCTGGGTGGGTGCTGGCCGTGCGGGGGATGCCCTGGGTGGGTGCTGGCCGTGCGGGCGATGCCCTGGGTGGGTGCTGCTGGCCGTGCGGGCGATGCCCTGGGTGGGTGCTGCTGGCCGTGCGGGCGATGCCCTGGGTGGGTGCTGGCCGTGCGGGCGATGCCCTGGGTGGGTGCTGGCCGTGCGGGTGATGCCCTGGGTGGGTGCTGGCCGTGCGGGGGATGCCCTGGGTGGGTGCTGGCCGTGCGGGCGATGCCCTGGGTGGGTGCTGGCCGTGCGGGCGATGCCCTGGGTGGGTGCTGCTGGCCGTGCGGGCGATGCCCTGGGTGGGTGCTGGCCGTGCGGGCGATGCCCTGGGTGGGTGCTGGCCGTGCGGGCGATGCCCTGGGTGGGTGCTGGCCGTGCGGGCGATGCCCTGGGTGGGTGCTGGCCGTGCGGGGGATGCCCTGGGTGGGTGCTGGCCGTGCGGGCGATGCCCTGGGTGGGTGCTGCTGGCCATGTGGACAGCCTTCCTGCCTTCCTGTGTCCTCTCAGCCCTGGTTCTTCCTTTTTCAACCATTCTCCTTTCCCTTGGGTGGACATCTCAAGTCCAGACACTTCAGTGTATATCCGGATGGCATTAACATCGGACTTACAGCAATTACACAGGAAACAAATGGGGCAAACCAGCACTTCCGCCATGCCTCCCCTCTTTCTTAGTGAAGACAGACATTGCAAGTTGTGCGAGAGGGACTTTAGTTCCGGTCAGTAGTTCTCAAATTTTGTGATCTCAGGCCCTCTGTTAAGACTCTATGTCTTAAAAATTATTGAGGACCCCAAAGAACTTTCGTTTATGTGGACTCCATCTATCAATATGTACTGTCTTAGAAATTAAAGCTAATAATATTTACAAATTGTAACTAGTTTGCCAAAATAACCAAAACACATTACACATCAACAGTAATATAACTATATTCTCCAAAAGAAACATATACAACGGGAAGGGTGGCATTGTTATTATACCTTTTGGAAATTCTTTAGTTTCTGACTTAATAAAAGACAGCTGGATTCTCATATTTACTTGTGCATTTAGTCTGTTACAGTCTCACACATCATGGAGCCTCTGGGAAACTCCACTTTACATTCACAAGAGAAAGAGAGTGAAATAAGTAAATAATATTTTAGTATTATCATGAGTATGGTTTGAACCTTGTAGTACTCCCTGTAAGGGTCTCAGGGACTCAAGGCTTCCTGCACCACAATTTGAGACCTGCTGATCTAGACCAAAGCTCTCTTTTTGAAAAACAGAAAATGTGGCTGAAAAGGCAAAGTTTATTGGCCATGGTCATAAAGCACAGTTAATTAAGAGCAGAGCTGGTCTCATTGTAAATTTTTTTCTTCTAGTCATAATGTTAAATAGTGGCCTGTGTTCATTTGTTCAGAGCAGGATTTAGTAACACTCACCCACTTATTGGCAAATGTTCAGGATGGCTAGCTAATGTTCATGTTGACTATAGTTTGGTTTTAGCTCAAAATCTTACCTTTCTCAGTCTATACCCAAACACACTGATGGGCCACAGTTCTTAAAGGCTAGATAGTCTGTTAGAGCAGATCTGTGGAGCTGTGTGTAGTAAATATTTTGAGGAGACATGGTGTTTTCAAGGCTAGATCTGAGATTCCCAAGGATGTCATTGCTCCGTTCTCCGATCTCTTTGGTGCTTTCTTTGCTTGCCTATCCCCTTCCTCCCATGTTCTGTATGATAACACTGTCCTGAGTAATGACTCTGACTCTTCCAGACCCTCCCCTGAAGAACGTGTCCAGCAACGCAGAGTGCCCTGCTTGTTATGAATCTAATGGAACTTCCTGTCATGGGAAGCCCTGGAAATGCTATGAAGAAGAACAGTGTGTCTTTCTAGTTGCAGAACTTAAGAATGGTAAGTCTTGGAGTTCTAATTCCTCTATGGGACTTGGGCTGGAAACATGTCAAGTCTTGGTTCATAAATTCTGGGTTAACACAGAAGGACCAGGGGAGTCGTGGGACAAGGGGGATAAGGGCCATAATGTCTTTAAATACAGTGGCTGCTCATGTAGCCTTGAGCTCGCTGCTATTGCTGCCTTCTTAGAGCAGAGCTGTTTCTCCTGGGCTACCCTTCCCTTGAACTCTATTCTCCTGTGGCTTGTAATCCAGTCACATTTGTCTAAGCGCATCACACCCCTCCTGACATTCACTTCTTTACCAGGTCGCATCATTCTATAGGTGAGGGTGGTGCAACTTTTATTTCCTTTTATATCTACACTTTTATTCTCTAGTTGTCACTAAGAGGTGTTGGCTTTTGGTAGCTTGGATCACCTGGCAGAAAGAGTCAAATTGGGCCTTAAATCCAACCAATTGTGCTTTTCTACAAAAGCAGTTTGATACTAACTATCGTAAAATACACATTTGACACTACCCATTGTGAGATCCACATTTGACGCTACCCATTGTGAGATCCACATTTGACGCTACCCATTGTGAGATCCACATTTGACGCTACCCATTGTGAGATCCACATTTGACGCTACCCATTGTGAGATCCACATTTGATACTAACCATTGTAAAATACACATTTCTAACATTTGCCCAAACAGTTAAAGGTTAATACATTTATTAGTTAAGGTAAGTTAATTGCTGTTAACAATACCAGTGATGCCCTGGGTGGGTGCTGGCCATGCAGGCGGGCTTCTTGTGTCCTCCCAGCCCTGGCTCTTCCTTTTTCACCTGTTCTCCTTTCCCTTGGGTGGACATCTCAAGCCCAGGCACTTCAGTGAGTATCTGGATGGCATTAACATGTGACTTACAGCAATTACACAGGAAACAAATGGGGAAAACCAGCACTTCACTATGCCTCCCCTCTTTCTTAGTGATTCAGGTTGTGTGAGAGGGACATTAGTGGCCATCAGTAGTTCTCAAACCTTGTGATCTCAGGCCCTCTGTTAAGACTCTATGTCTTAAAAATTATTGAGGACCCCAAAGAACTTTTGTTTATGTGGACTCCATCTATCAGTATACACTGTCTTAGAAATTAAAGCTAAGAAAATTTAGAAACCTTAACTAGTTAAAAAGTTAAAGAACAACCTCCAAAGCCTATGGCTCAATACAATAGATGTTTATTCCTTGCTGGAGCAGTTCATTGCAGAGTCCAGGCCATGCGCTCCTTCTGTCTTGTAGCTCTGGCCCCCACTCACCGGGTCTTGGCAGCTCTGTGCTGTATCCTTTGCATCTTGCCAGCAGTAGGAAAGAGAGGTAGTGGAGGAAGGCAGGTGAGTTTCTATGGGTTGGGCCTGGATGTGAATGCATCACTTCCTCCCACATTCCACTGGCTAGGACCCGGTAAGACAGTCATCTTGGCTGTAAGGGAGGCTGAGATAGTCAGGCTCTGCCAAAATGTGGCTCAAAAGCGTAAGAGTTTAAGAGCACTAGTATCCAGGTACAGTTTGATTTTAATATTTGTTAAGTGTCAATTATAGCATCATGAATCAGTGTTTAACTGTAATCATGGATTTTTCAGCGGCGTCAAGCACCATGCTTATCCTGAACCTCTTATTTCGGTTGTTGTCTTTTTGGTTTTTTGAGATGGAGTCTTGCTCTGTCGCCCAGGCTGGAGTGCAGTGGTGCGATCTCAGCTCACTGCAACCTCCGTCTCCTGGGTTCAAGTGATTCTCCTGCCTCAGCTTCCTGGGTAGCTGGGATTATACACATGTGCCACCACACCTGGCTACTTTTTGTATTTGTAGTACAGATGGGGTTTCGCCATGTTGGCCAGGCTGGTCTCAAACACCTGAACTCAAGTGATCCGCCCGCCTCGGTCTCCGAAGGTGCTGGGATTACAGGTGTGAGCCACAGCACCCAGCCCCGAACCTCTTTATACTGTTTTTTTTTAAATACACATTTTTTTTCAGAGTAGTTTTAGATTCACAGCAAAATTGGGCAGAAGTGATAGAAATTTCTCATCTACCTGACACGCATAACCTCCCCCGCTGCCAACATCCCCACCAGAGCATAACCTCCCCCGGCTGCCAACATCCCCACCAGAGCGTAACCTCCCCCGGCTGCCAACATCCCCACCAGAGCATAATCTCCCCCGGCTGCCAACATCCCCACCAGAGCATAATCTCCCCCGCTGCCAACATCCCCACCAGAGCGTAATCTACCCGGCTGCCAACATCCCCACCAGAGCGTAACCTCCCCCGCTGCCAACATCCCCACCAGAGCATAATCTCCCTGGCTGCCAACATCCCCACCAGAGCATAACCTCCCCCGCTGCCAACATCCCCACCAGAGCATAATCTCCCCGGCTGCCAACATCCCCACCAGAGCATAATCTCCCCCGCTGCCAACATCCCCACCAGAGCGTAATCTCCCCGGCTGCCAACATCCCCACCAGAGCATAATCTCCCCCGCTGCCAACATCCCCACCAGAGCATAATCTCCCCCGACTGCCAACATCCCCACCAGAGCATAATCTCCCCGGCTGCCAACATCCCCACCAGAGCATAATCTCCCCGCTGCCAACATCCCCACCAGAGCATAATCTCCCCGGCTGCCAACATCCCCACCAGAGCATAACCTCCCCGGCTGCCAACATCCCCACCAGAGCATAATCTCCCCCGACTGCCAACATCCCCACCAGAGCATAATCTCCCCCGCTGCCAACATCCCCACCAGAGCATAACCTCCCCGGCTGCCAACATCCCCACCAGAGCATAATCTCCCCCGACTGCCAACATCCCCACCAGAGCATAATCTCCCCCGCTGCCAACATCCCCACCAGAGCGTAACCTCCCCCGGCTGCCAACATCCCCACCAGAGCGTAATCTCCCCCGCTGCCAACATCCCCACCAGAGCATAATCTCCCCGCTGCCAACATCCCCACCAGAGAGGTACATTTTTTCTAAGCAGTGAGGCTACATTGATACAGCCTCACCCAAAGTTGATAGCTTACATTAAGGTTCCCCCTTGGTGTTGTATATTCCATGAGTTTGGACAAATGTAGAATGATATACATCCACCATTGTAGTAGTACCATATAGAGTATTTCCACTGCCTTAAAATTCCTCTATGCTCTACCTACGCATCCCTCCCTCCCCTCTAAGCTCTGACAACCACTGATCTTTGTTATTGCCTCCAGAGTTTTGCCTTTTCCACACTATCCTATAGTTGAACTCATACAGTATGTAGCCTTTTCAAAACGGCTTCTTTCCTTAGTAATATCCATTTAAAGCTCCTTTCACTTTTAAAATTTCTGGGATGTCTAAGCTGCTATGATTTTTAATTCTAAAACTGTGTCCTAGGGCAACATGACATCAGAAAGATTTTTCTCTCTCTGCTTATCTTGTCCCCAGCTCTGATAAAAGGGATCGATTTTCCTCTTTCTCATAGGACTTGACTTAAGCTGAAAGCCAGACAGATCAAAGCTATCATAAATGTAGGGGTATTTTTGTTTCTTTTTGTTCAAGATCACTTTTTTTAATACAGTAGAAATGTTCCATGAAACACACCTCCTTAACTCACTCTGAGTCTTCAGCACTGGCCAGGTGCGGTGGCTCACGCCTGTAATCCCAGCTCTTTGAGAGGCCAAGACAGGCTGATGACTTGAGGTCAGGAGTTCAAGATCAGCCTGGCCAACATGGTGAAACCCTGTCTCTACTAGAAATACAAAAATTAGCCAGATGTGGTGGCACGCGCCTGTAGTCCGTACTACTCAGGGGGCTGAGGCAGGAGAATCACTTGAACCTGGGGGACAGAGGCTTCAATGAGCCAAGATTGCACCACTGCACTCCAGCCTGGATGACAGAGCGAGACTCCATCTCAAAACAAAACAAAAAACTTCAGCACTGATGCTTGCTATAAAACAGCATTTGGAGGTTTCTAACTCCTTTTCCAAACAAGTTTAGAATCAGCCTTTGTTGTTGTTGCTGTTCAAGACAGGGTCTCGCTCTGTCGCCCGGGCCGGAATGCAGGGGTGCGATCACTGACTCACTGCTGCCTCGAACTCCTGGCTCAAGCCAATCTCCCATCTCAGCCTCCAAGTAGTGGGACTACAGGCATGTGCCACCACCCCTGGATAACTTAATTTTTTGTAGAGACAATGTTTCCCAGTCTGGTCTCAAACTCCTGGCCTCAAGCAATCCTCTCACCTCAGCCTCCCAAAGTACCATGATTACAGGCGTGAGACACCTGGTCCTAGAGCCAGCCTTGAACTCAAATTGCAGCCCTGCTTCATGCCTGGTCCTAGAGCCAGCCTTGAACTCAAATTGCAGCCCTGCTTCATGCCTGGTCCTAGAGCCAGCCTTGAACTCAAATTGTGGCCCTGCTTCATGCCTGGTCCTAGAGCCAGCCTTGAACTCAAATTGCGGCCCTGCTTCATGCCTGGTCCTAGAGCCGGCCTTGAACTCAAATTGCGGCCCTGCCTCTGACAAGTGGTGAGTGGAGTCACTTCACCTCCGTGAGTCCCTTGGCCTCTGTGAGGTGCCTGTCTCCAGGGCTGTTTGAATTGCAGCTGACAGAGCAATTGGGGCTCACAGTAAGTGCTCAATAACAGGTAGCTGCTATCGTAACTATGTCTTTTGTCCAAATGCCCCAGGCCTTTTTCTAGTACATGAATCTCAAAACACGATTAAACATAGCAGAACCCCAATTTACGGCAGAGACATGCCGTGGTCTCTTATATGCCTCCTGGTGGCCCTTCCTTCTTCTCAGGGAAAACTCAGGCAGGGAGGACTCAGGTCCAGAGAGGAGTGAGGACGGAAAGCAAAGCCTGGAAGGGGACAGGGAAGTCCAAGGTGCTGGCCCCTTCCTGAACTGAGAACAGAGAACTGCCTTTTGAATCTGTTCCTGGTTTCCTCACCTTCCAGCTACACAGGAACACGGGAGATGTGAGTCCCAGGTCCAGCTCTGACCTTCACTGTTTAGCCTGGGCTTGCCACTCACCTCCAGGAGTCTGCTTCCTCCAGGGTCAGGTGGCGGTGGGAGTCTAGGCCTCTGACCTCCAGGGTCTCTCTACCATTACCGCGTGGTGTTCTTGACTCTGAACACGCAGGCTCCTTCTTCCTGCCTGGGCTTCAGGAGCACACCAGCTCTTGCTGGTCACCGGGCCACCGTGCTGCAGGTGAAGAACTAAGAGCAGGCGTGGGTGGAAGGACAAAGGACTGAGTGGCGTCCCTCCTGTCTCCTTTGCATTCACAGACATTGAGTCTAAGAGTCTCGTGCTGAAAGGCTGTTCCAACGTCAGTAACGCCACCTGTCAGTTCCTGTCTGGTGAAAACAAGACTCTTGGAGGAGTCATCTTTCGAAAGTTTGAGTGTGCAAATGTAAACAGCTTAACCCCCACGTCTGCACCAACCACTTCCCACAACGTGGGCTCCAAAGCTTCCCTCTACCTCTTGGCCCTTGCCAGCCTCCTTCTTCGGGGACTGCTGCCCTGAGGTCCTGGGGCTGCACTTTGCCCAGCACCCCATTTCTGCTTCTCTGAGGTCCAGAGCACCCCCTGCGGTGCTGACACCCTCTTTCCCTGCTCTGCCCCGTTTAACTGCCCAGTAAGTGGGAGTCACAGGTCTCCAGGCAATGCCGACAGCTGCCTTGTTCTTCATTATTAAAGCACTGGTTCATTCACTGCCCAAATCTGTCCTGATGCATTCTGGGCTGGGCTTCATTTGAGCTGCTATCCAGCATCGCCTCCCACTTCTGGGCTGCAGGTGGGGTCCTTGCCTTTGAAACCTGTGCACGTTTGTTTCTGGGATCTGAGGACATCCCTGCTCATCTTGCTTCTAGGAAGCCGACCCCTTGACCTTGCAGCCCTGCACCTCTGGGGACGGACATGCCACCATCCACACTGTCACACACAAGGAGCTCCCCCGCCTACTTTATAAGGCCTGTGTTGACCCCAGTACCAACACATAAGCTCCTTCAGTATTGGCCAATATATGGCTCTTCAACAGTTGTCCTGATTGTGGTCAGAAGTCCACAGCGAGTGAAGAAAACAGCATCATCTCAGGGTCCTATCACGATGGGGGCCCAAAGAGGGTTGGAGGGGCTGCTGAAGACCAGCATGCTCCTACTGTCTAGCCTTCCCAGGCAGGGACATGAGTAAGTCACTGAGCAACCTGCAATGCCAGGCTCCATTCCCGGCTGAGGAGGTTTTCTGCAGCCTTGTGCAGAATGGAATGTGGCTACAGAGCACCAGTCCAGCCCCTCAGAGAGCTTATAATCAAACACAGAGTAAATAACTCTATATCAAATGCCAAGGGAGGAAGAAAACCATTCAATAGAATATGCCCAGAGGCCCAGGTCTAGTAAATAAGGAGGGCCTTGAGCTGAACTTGGAAAAATGGGGTTTGCTGTAATAAATACTTTTTTGTAAACTGATGTGGGTCAACATTAGCCAGGATTGCTGGCAATGCACCATGGACAAAGCCACCATAAAGGTCCTCTGATGGCAACTCATCACCACATGTGCTCTTACCTATTTCAGCTTGGTATTTTGAAATGGAATTTTAGACTTACTGAAAAGTTGCAAAAATGAGTACACAGAGTTCCACTGTCTCCTTCATGCAGCTTCTCCTCACGTTCACATTTTAGATAATCACGATACAGTTACTGAAAGCAGGAAATGTTCACTGAAACAATATTGTTTACGAACAGACCTCATTTGCATCTCACCAGTTTCTATGAATGTCTTTTTTTTCCTGATCCAGGATCCAATTCTTTGCATTTAATTGTCATGTCCCCTCAGTCTCCTTCAAACAGCGGCAGTTCTGGAATCTACCAAGACCTTGATAATTAAGAAGATTATTGGCCATTTTGTAGAATGTTTCCCAATCTGAGCTTGTCTGAAGTTTTCTTGTGATCAGATTGAGGTTATGCATTTTTGGCAAGAAAACCACGGCAATGATATGCCCGTCTCGGTGCATTTTATCAGGAGATACTTGATGTCGATGTGTCATATTACTGGTGATGTTAACCTTGGTTAAGGTTAGTAGCTTTCAGGTTTCTCCATTGTAAAGTTGCTATTACTTCTTAATATAATAGGCTAGGTTGTACTGCTATAACAAATATACCTTAGTAAAAAAAAAAATCACACAATGGGAGTTTATTTCTCAGCAACTTAAACTCCATATAGATGCTCCTGGTTGGACATCTGTCCAGGGCTGCTCTTCTCCAAGAGTAAGGAAGGCGTCATGCTTCTTTAACCCCACAGTTCCACCATCCCCCATGACCCACTGGACTCTCGGTTAAGTGCTCTGTCTGTAGCCGGCTGATAAGTAAAAAGAGAGAGCGCCTGGAGGGCTGTGCAGAACGGCCCAGGGGCCAGGGCTGGCAGTGACATCCATCACTTATGCTCATAAATCCGGTTGTGGGACCTTGAGCAAGAGACTTTTCCTCTCTGGGCCTTAGTTTCTCCACCTGTATAATGGGGATAGTGATAAGGTCTGCTACCTGGGGTTGTGAGGTCTGTCAACATAGTTCTCCCTGTGAAGCTTAGCGAAGAGCTTGGCAAGGAGTAAATGTTAACAGCAGAAGATTACAGTCTGGAGGGTGCTCCCTAAGGACAGTAGGAGGAGGAGAGGCCACAAGAAATGCTGATGTAGAAGGAACTGTCCCTGCTCAGCTCCCTCTGACGATGCCAACTTCACTAAGGTTACAGCTGCTTCTGTTTCAGTCTCAGAATCTCGTATCCACTTCACTCACCCTTCCTAGACCCTCTGTGGCTGCTGACACCATGGCCTCACAGAACGCAGTGGGGGCTTCTCTGCCTCTCATCTGCATTGTCTGAACTACCAGCTAACTGGTTCTTAAAATCTTCTGGAAGCCCCAGTGCTCCACGTTGATGTGAGGAAGCAGCGACATGTTTGGGGAACTGCAAAGGGTCACATGGGAGCCTGCCTGAAGGACAAGTAGGACCAGAGCCCAGGAGGCCTCCACAGCATTGTAGATGACTCTGGCTTTAGATTGAAGGCCATGGGGAGTCAATGTATAGTTAAGTGAGATAGTAAGAGTGGATTGGGTTTCCATTCTGGGAAGATTGCCTAGACTGCAGGATGAAGGTAGAAAGACAGGGCAGCAAGAAAGTTAAACAGAAGTAGTGGGTACTGCCCAGGGGTAGATGCTTTTCATCCCATTAATGGAGTATAAACTAGTACCCTAATGTACTTCCATTTGCATTACTGGCTCCCACCTCCTTACCCAGAGCAGGGAATTGAGCAGAGTGCCACTCCTGCCCGTGTGTCTACCTTTTTTTCCTCCTGGCTCTTCATGCTTAACTCTAGACTCCTGTCCTCTGGCCCCTGAGCCGGGTCTCATACTTTGCACCTAAGCTAAAGCCCCTTACTGGCAATTCTTCATTAGACCCAGCCTGGGGTCTAGGATAAGCCCCCATATCTGAGAAACTCCACAGAATTCTACACTCACACTGTGTGGCTGGACTAATGACAGTGGCCTTGTCTTTCCACAGTACTTTAAAATTTGTAAAGTTCTTTTGCCCATGTTGGTTTATTTTATTTAGAATGAAATTGTATACACAATCACATTTTAGGCAGGATTTACATACAATAAAATGTATGTGTGCAGTCTGATGGGTATCACCAAACTTGCCCTTGTAACTACCCTCCACCCCAGTGAAGACATGAAAGCCTCTCCAGTAGTTCCCCTGGGCTGCTACGCAGCTCACTCCACGCTAGCCCCAGGCATCTCCACTCTCCCCTCCTGAAATGACAGGCAACACCCTGCTCACAACCCATTGAGTTCAGCATTCACTCAGCAACACCCAGGCTCAAGACAACAGGCAGAATAGTCCCCAGGGGTCAGATTTTCCCAGCAACAATTCTGCCTCATGGAAGGGGTTAGGATAAGGTACTGTTTCCATCAGACCCCCAAGCCCTTTTGACCCCTTCTCACTGCCTCAGCCAGGAAGACAAAAGGAGGGTGTAGGGTTCCTTTCTTTGTGCTCAAGACTGGGTTTAGCACGTCTGAGCTAAAAGTTTCTTGAACTAAATCTCCAAATAACCTTTAATCTGAAATATAAATTGAACCAAAGTAAAAACCACTTATCACTATGTGTCTTCAATGTACATTTTCAATATATATATAATAATTGTGCATATAATATTTATGGGGTACATGTGATATTTTGATACATGCATATAATATATAATGATCAAATCCAGGTAATTGGGATATTCGTCACCTCAGACTTTTATCAATTTTTTTGTATTGGGAACATCACAAATCTTCCTCTTTAGCTATTTTGAAATACAAAAATTATAGCCCACTGTGCTGTTGAACACAAGGACTTAGTCCTTCTATTGAAATGTATTTTTGTTACCCATTAACCAACCTCTCTTTATTCCTACCTCCCCCCACCTTAACTAATCTCCGTTAATCTCCATTCTACTCTTTATATCCATGAGATAAACTTTGTTAGCTCCCACATGAGTGAAAACATGGAATATTTGTCTTTTCATGCCTGGCTTATTTCACTTAACATACATTCATCATCTTTTCATGATAAACCCTTGACAAATGGGGTATAGAAGGAACACACCTCAAAACAATCAAGGTAATACATGACAAATCCACAGTTAACATCCAACTAACATCCAGCTTTTCCTCTAAGATCTGGTACAAGACAAGGATGTTCACTGTCACCACTTTTATTCAATGCAGTACTGAAAGTTCTAGCCCAAGCAATTAGACAAGAGAAAGAAATAAAGGACATTCAAAATAGAAAAAAAATAAGTCAGGCGGATGCAGTGGCTCATGCCTGTAATCCCAGCACTTTAGGAGGCTGAGGCAGGCAGATCACGAGGTCAGGAGATCGGGACCATCCTGGCTAACATGGTGAAACCCCGTCTCTACTAAAAAATACAAAGAAATTAGCCAGGCATGGTGGTGGGCGCCTGTAGTCCCAGCTACTCGGGAGGCTGAGGCAGGAGAATGGCATAAACCCAGGAGGTGGAGCTTGCAGTGAGCCAAGATGGCGCCACTGCACTCCAGCCTGGGTGACAGATCGAGACTCCATCTCAAATAAAAAGAAGAAAAAAAAATAAGTCAAATTGTCCTTGTTTGCAGATGACATGATCTTATATTTAGAAAAACCTTAAGAATACGCCAAAAACTGTTAGAATTGCTAAATGAACTCAGTAAAGTTGGAGGCTACAAATTCAACACGCAAAAATCAGTAGCATTTCTATTTGCTAATAGTGAACAATCTGAAAAAATCAAGAAAGCAGTTTAATTCATAATGACTACAAAAAAAAAAACCTAGAAATGAATTTAACCAGAGTTGAAAGAGCTCTACAATGAAAACTATAAAACACTAATGAAAGAACTTAAAGAGGGCACAGAAAAAAAAAATGAAAAGATATCCCGTGTTCATAGACTGGAAGAATTAATATTGTTAAAGTGTCTGTACTACTCAAAGCAATCTACAGATTCAATGCAATCCTTATCAAAATACCAATGACATTCTTCACAGATATAGAAAAAGCAATTAAATTCATATGAAACCACAAAAGACCCTATATAGCCAAAGCAATCCTGAGAAAAAAGAACAAAGCCAGAGTCATCACACCACCTTACTTCAAAAGATACTATAAAGCTGTAGTAACCCAAACAGCATAGTTCTGGCATAAAAACAGACAAATAGACCAATGGAATAGAATAGAGAATGCAGAAATAAATCTTCAATGTACATATTTAACTCAACGAGTGAACCTAGAAATGTTTTGCCGAGTCCTTAAGCACCCAAATCTGGCTTTAGATCTGAGAACAAGAGTGAGGAGGGTTCAGAGACGGGAGGTTCCAGGCAGAATGGGCAGTGGACTTTGGGCAGGGTTGCTCTTAAGCTTGAGAAAGCAGCTACTTGTGTCAAGTGATTCTGGGGCTTCTGGTTTCCCCAAAAGTGCTCCAACCAGCCAAGTTACAGAGAAAAGTAAGGCTTCAAGAAATACAGTGCCAGCAAATCATAGTGGATGATTACCAGAGCCAGTTTTGAATGAGGATGAGTTGGGACTTTTTCAGACTCTTGCACATTAACCCAGAAGCAGGAGGGAGGTCTCCTACTGCCAGCCCCAGCAGCAGAATTTACAAGCGCAGAATAATAGTGCTGGTGAGCTTTGGCCAGCACAAATAAATTGGGACCCGCTGCCACCCACACTTTCTGCAGGGACTGTCAGAGAGTCTCAAATTCCAGCCATTCTCTTGGCCCTTGAAGAGCCATCTATTTCCCATTAACTAGTTCTCAGTGGGAGTCACACTCTAATCACTGTCAGCTGACATCTTACGGGGATCGTTCCTGCTGAGAGGGAGGGCTCTTAAGGAAGCGAGACCAGAAGGTAGGAGGGAAAACCAGGAAGAGTCCATAAAGGTGAAGGTTAGGGAGCATGAATCAGGGGATTTAGAGTCCCTAAGATACAGTGACAAACTCCCCCAGACATGAGCACAGGCCCCACCCAACTATGTGTGATTTGGAGTCAACCCAGTATTATTACCTACAATGATGGTACCAGCTGTGATGGTAGTAGAAGTCAATACTCCCTTTGAGTAACGGGCTTTGGCCATATTTTATTCCCATGACAACCCATAGAGGTAGGTATTACATGTCCCTGTTGTTCAGATGAGCAAACTAAGCCTGGCAGAGGCCAGTGCCTTGTCCAAGGTCACACAGCTAGTGAGGTAGGTCCTGGGATTTCATACATTTCTCCCTGACCCAGTGCCTAGCCCAAGGTCACACAGCCGAGGAGGTAGGTCCTGAGATTTCATGCAATTCTCCCTGATCACAGAACCCCAGGGAAAGACCTGAGTGAGTGGTTGCAGCTCTGTGCTGGCAGCTGAGTGCCCTGGGTGAGTCTGCTTCCTTCTGTCTCTAGTTCCTTATAGAATCTGTGAAATGGTGATTTCGGGATCCCTCAGGTTCCTCTCAGCTTCTGTTCCTTTAGAACCTTTTAGCCACAGTGGGGACTTGGGCTTGGATATCATCCCCTATGGGCTTCAAGGTGGGCAGGAAGGGACAATACAAAATTTGAGAACTCGTCTTCAAGTGAACACAGTGGCCTAGGGGCCTAGAGACAGCCATACTTCTTCCTCAATGGAGGAACAGAGTTGGGGTTTGGAGAGATTTATTCTGAGCCAAATATGAATGACCATGGCCCATGACACAGCCCTCAGGAGGTCCTGAGAAAATGTGCCCAAGGTGGTTAGGGCACAGCATGATTTTACATATTTACGGGAGACATGAGACATCAATCAAATACATTTAAGAGGTACCTTGGTTTGGTTCAGAAAGGCAGGACAACTTAAAATGGGGGCTTCCAGGCTACAGGTAAATTTAAACATTTTCTGGTTGACAATTTGTTGAGTTTGTCTAGAGACGTGGGATCAATAGAAAGGAATGTCTGGGTTAAGATAAAGGATTGTGGAGACCCAAGTTCCTATTTGCAGAGGAAACCTTCAGGTGGTAGGCTTCGGAGAGGATAGGTTGTAAACTGTTTCCTATCAGACTTAAAGTCTGTGTCCATGTTAATGCTGGAGAGGTATAATGAGACATGTCCAACCCCCTAAAACAGTCATAGCCTAAAACAGTCTCTTAGGTTAAATTTTAAAAGAGCCCTGGCTGACGAGAAGTCCATTCAGATGGTTGGGAGGCCTTAGAATTTTATTTTTGGTTTACAAGGTACTTGTGCACCCCAGTATATTCAATCTTGTGTTGGCTAAGAGTGGACTCCCAGCTGTCTTTCTTCCTGCCTCCAAGTCTTCGTCTCACTATTTGTCTTTTTTCTTTTGGAATTCAGTGCCTCATTTGTGTTCTCCAACCCCATCTCACCTGCTTTCACTTTTTCTTCCCCTGTGACCATAATATAGCACTAAAGTTTATCTTTTTTATTTCTTACATTGAATAGTTTATATATTTTTCTGTATAAGCTAAAGTAGTCACTTTTTACCTGGATGGTTCTAGCTTTTATTTGTTTGCTTGCTTATTCATTCATTTTCCTCCTGAAGGTCAGAGACGTTCTTGGCCAAAAGAATTTTCCACGCTCCATTTCCGCCCCTTTTGGGGCCTGAGCACTCCAGAGAGCTTGGGAACGGCCCAGGCTGAGTTGCAGATGGTGTGTGCGCTTTGCCTTAGGGCTCACCTTCTGGTGTGTCCTTCCAGGGGTTGCTCATCGACACTTTGGTGGGGGCACACTCCCACCACTGGAAGAGCCCTGGGGTACTTGGGCCTCTCCTGGGCCTGTCTGTTGTCCAGATCACTCCAGCTGGTCATCTCAGCTTTATAAACAGCAACCAATTAAGAGCGGCCCACCTGAGTAGTAGTCTACTGTAGATACCCTTATGCAATTTCGCTTTTTCTCACTTCATAGTATATTCTGGAAATCTGTTGCTTCTGTTCATGGGGTCTGCCATTCTTCCGCAGTGCGTCACCGGAGT
Organism: Homo sapiens; assembly: GCF_000001405.40. Lineage (NCBI taxonomy): Eukaryota > Metazoa > Chordata > Mammalia > Primates > Hominidae > Homo > Homo sapiens. The sequence goes on along the minus strand of NC_000001.11, from coordinate 248,731,611 downwards.
CCACAGTGTGGCTTTTCAACTGCTCTGTGCTGTATGGGCTTTCAGTTTGCTCCAATATTTTGCAATCACAATGTTTCAATGAATACCCTTGAGCATTTGTATTTTTCTATTGCTGAATTTTATAGGTAGATAGCCATGAGTGGGGCAGGAGAGCGTTCTCCCTCACCCACTAGAAACGTCAGGTGCTGGTTCAACAATTATCAAACTGCCTGTCTAAAAATGATAATTCCGGAGCCATGGAGAGGAAGATCTCCTCATGATCCACAGCTGTTAAACATTGAAGTGTTCATTGAATGAAGACCCCAGGGAAGAGAAACTTCCTGGACATGCACATTAAGAAGACAAAAATGTCAAGCATGACATTACTGGTACACGCCACTGGAAAAAGAAAGCAAGCCTGAGATGGGCATGCGTATTACTCCCTAAACACACTGCGCATGCTCAGTTTCAAAGGGCAAGGAGACCACTGGGCATGCGGAAAGCCCGCCCTAAGGGAAGAATCATGGGAAAGAGGCGAGTCTATAGAGTTCTAGGATTAAGGTTAAAGGCCTCCTTTTTTCTCTCTTGGACCTTCAGGCGCCCCCTTGGGTCTCTTCCAAGCAAATTTTCGTTTCTTTCCTTTTCCAAAGCCTTTTAAAATAAACTTCCACTCCTGCTCTGAAACTTGCCTCGGTCTCTTTTCCTGCTTTATGCACCTCAGTCGAATTCTTTCTCCTGAGGAAGCAAGAGCTGAAGTTCCTGTGGGCTCCTGTGGATGCCGCGGAAAACTCAGGGTATCTCAGATCTCTGCTGCCACTAACACTGAAGGTATGTCTTCAGAGCAGATTCCTAGAAGTTGGATTGCTGGGTCATTAATGCACAGGTAGTTTTGTTAGGTTTGCCAAATTCCCCTACGGAAAGATTGTGCTGACCTGTGCATTCCTAACAGCAGTTATGCCAAAGAATGTTCCATTTTCCATTTTAATGTTTGCCAGTCAGACAGCTGGGAAATAAGATTTCAAGGTTGTTTTAATTTGCATTTCTTTAATTATGGAGTTTGAACATTTTTCATGTATTTGAAGTCCATTAAGATTTTATATATAATTTATCTGTGTATGTCTTTTACCTACTTTTCTGTTGGATTTATTTTATTTATTTTTCTATTGGACTTCAGTTTTTTTGTCCCTCATTTAAAAAAAAATTTTAATTTAATAGGCATAGAAACAACATTATACTGATAATATGACCAGAAAGTTCTCTCACTTGTTTTTTTTTTTTTTTTTTTGAGAGAGAGTTTCGCTCTTATTGCCCAGGCTGGAGTGCAATGGCACGATCTCGGCTCACAGCAACCTCAGCCTCCTAGGTTCAAGCCATTCTCCTGCCTCAGCCTCCCGAGTAGCTGGGATTACAGGCATGCACCACCACACTTGGCTAATTTTGTATTTTTAGTAGAGACGCGGTTTCTTCATGTTGGTCAGGCTGGTCTCGAACTCCGGACCTCAGGTGATCTGCCTGCCTCGGCCTCCTAAAGTGCTGGGATTACAGGCGTGAGCCACCGCGCCTGGCTGTCACTTGTTTTTTATTTTTATTTTTGCTGGTATTTTACATGTTTATGGAGTGCATGTGATATTTTGATACATGCATACAATATGTAATGAGAAAGTCAGGATATTTAGGACATTCATCAGCTTGAATATTCTCATTTCTTTGTGTTGGGAACAAAAAAAATGCTTAGTCAAGTGAGTAAACTCTTTAGCCCACTCTTTGGTTTATTTGATTGTAGGAGGTTTGGTTTATGGGGACCTTGGGTAAAGAGCATACTCCAAACTCTTGGTATTATCCTCCCAATAGTCATAATAATAGTCTCCCTGGTGCGCTGTATTCTCTCAAAGGTTTTAAATGCTTGCATGCAGCCATCTCTAGAATGTCATATGAGCTCTCTTCAATTGGAATGACAGGAGCTGAAAGAAATGTGCAGCCATGAGGGCACCATAACCTATAAATAATGTGCTGAGACTGGAAACCCAAAATGGTGGTAACTGAGAGTGGTGCTATGAGAGTGTGATCACAATGGGGGAATTTTTTAAACAAAATTCTGGGAGGCCATTGTTTTGGACTAAGCTCATTTACTAAGCCCCAACAGACTAAACCAAACCGAACCAAACTGGGGTCATTTATGCTAAGATTTTAAGGAAATGCATAGATTCTAGAAGAGACCAGGTTTTGTTTTTCTCCTTTAAATCTCTATAACAAACATTCCTGACAGCATGGGTATCCAACCCCTAAAGTTCCCATTAAATCTTTTAATCAAATTCATTTCTTCTTGCCTAGAGACCATCAAGCTTCAGATGATCGTGCAACAAAGGTTCCAGCCAGTTCTAGGTGAAGACACCACTGCTGGCCATGAAAGAGCTACCCTGCCTCCACTAGACAGAGCAGGGTGAGAGTTCCATGATCCCCAATAGGTAGAGACTATGCCCCAAGCCAGCATGAGGCAGTTACAGAAAAAATACCATTGTTCCCTCTACTTCCTATAAAGATTTATGGGGATCACATTTCTCAGGGGGAGATGAGGCAGGAAAATAGAGTATGGGGACAGAGAACATAAGGCCAATTCACACTTCAGCTATGACAGGAAATATCCTCTCCATAGAGTGTAGGCCAAGTAACTAACTTTGTAACTTAGTCTCTCCATTTACATAGAGTGCACCCGAAGTAACCAATGCAATCCTCTAGAGGTTATTTAAACTCCCCAAAATTCTGTAAAGGGGCCCTTGAGCCCCTATGCTCGGGCCGCTCCCACACTGTGGAGTGTACTTTCATTTTCAGTATATTCCTTCATTCCTTCCTTGCTTTGTTTATGCATTTTTTCCAATTCTTCATTCAGGACACCAAGAACCTGAACACCCTCTGCCTGTGACAATTGTGTTGATTTGCATTTATCAATTAATAATGTTGAAAACTCTGTCATGTGCTTGTTAGCCGTTTGTATATATTCTTTGGAGGAATGTCTATTCAAATCCTTTGCTCATTTTAAAATTGATTTATTTGTCTTTTTGTTATTGGCTTGTAAAAATTATTTATGTATTATAGATATTAGACCCTTGTAATATGTGATTTGCAAATATTTTCTCTCATTCAGTGGGTTCTTTTTACTGTCAGTAGTATTCTTTGACGCACGAAGTTTTAAATTTTGATGAAGTCCAATTCTTTAAGAAAATTTTTGTTGTTCCTTGTGCTTTTGGTGTCATATTTAAGAATATATGAAATCTAAGGTCATAAAAATGTAACCGCATCTTTTCTTTTAAGAGTTTTTGTTTTGTTTTGTTTTTTTGTTTTTTTGAGACAGAGTATAGCTCTGTCACCCAGGCTGGAGTGCAATGGCACTATCTCGGCTCATTGCAACCTCTGCCTCCTGGGTTCAAGCAATTCTCCTGCCCCAGCCTCTTGAGTAGCTGGGATTACAGGCATGCACCACCACGTCCGGCTAATTTTTGTATTTTTAGTGGAGATGGGGTTTCACCATGTAGGTCAGGCTGGTCTTGAACTACCGACCTCGTGATCCGCCCGCCTTGGCCTCCCAAAGTGCTGGGATTACAGGTGTGAGCCACTGCACCCCACCAAGTCCCTCCTATTTATCTTTGTATTTATTGCATTTGCTTTTTGGTTCTTTGTCATGAAATCTTTGCTTAAGCCAATGTCTACAAGAATTTTTCTGATGTTATTTTCTAGAACTTTTATAGTTTCATGTCTTAGATTTAAATCCTTGATTCACCTAGAGTTGATTTTTGCATAAATTGAGAGATGAGGCTCCAGTTTCGTACTTCTATATGTGGGTTGTCAATTATTCCAGCACCATTTGTTGAATAGGGTGTCCTTTCCTCACTTTATGTTTTTGTTTGCTTTGTCATAGATCAGTTGGCTGAAAATATTTGGGTTTATTTCTGGACTCTCTATTCTGTTCCATTGGTCTATGTTCCTATTTTTATACTAGTACCATGCTGTTTTGGTCACCGTCATCTTATATTTTGAAATTACGTAATATGATGCCTCCAGATTTTTTTTTTTTGCATAATCTTGCTTTGGCTATGCAGGCTCTTTTTTGGTTTCATATAAAATTTTAGGATTATTTTTTCTAGTTCTGTGAAGAATGATGGTGGTATTTGGATGGGAATTGCACTGAATTTGTAGATTGCTTTTGACAGTACGGTCATTTTTACAATATTGGTTCTACCCATCCATGAGCATGGGATGTGTTTTCATTTGTGTCATCTATGATTTCTTTCAGCAATGTTTTGTAGTTTTCCTTGTAGAGGTCTTTCACATCTTTGGTTAGGTGTATTCCTAAATATTTTATTTGACTTTTTGCAGCTATTATGAAAGGGGTTGAGTTTTTTATTTGATTCTCAGCTTTGTTGCTGTTGGTGTATAGCACAGCTACTGATTTGTGTACATTAATTTTGTATCCTGAAACTTTATTGAGTGCATTTATCAGTTTTGAGCTTTCTTGGAGGAGTCTTTAGGGATTTTTTAGGTATGCAATTATATCATCAGCAAACAGTGACAGTTTGACTTTTACTGATTTGGATGCCCTTTATTTCTTTCTCTTGTCTGATTACTCTGGCTAGGACTTTCAGTACTATGTTGAATAGAAGTGGTAAGAGTGGGCATCCTTGTCTTGTTCTAGTTCTCAGAGGGAATTCCTTCAACTCATCCCCTTTCAGTATTATGTTTGCTGTGGTCTTGTCATAGATGGTTTTTATTACATTGAGGTATGTTTCTTTGATGCTGATTTTTCTGACGGTTTTAATCATCAAGGATGCTGGCTTTTGTCAAATGCTTTTTCTGCATCTATTGAGATAATCTTGTAATTTTTGTTTTTAATTCTGTTTATGAAATAATAAGAGCTATCTATGACAAACCCACAGCCAATATCATACTGAATGGGCAAAAACTGGAAGCATTCCCTTTGAAAACTGGCACAAGACAGGGATGCCCTCTCTCACCACTCCTATCCAACATAGTGTTGGAAGTTCTGGCCAGGGCAATTAGGCAAGAGAAGCAAATAAAGGGTATTCAGTTAGGAAAAGAGGAAGTCAAATTGTCCCTGTTTGCAGACGACATGATTGTGTATCTAGAAAACCCCATTGTCTCAGCCCAAAATCTCCTTAAGCTCATAAGCAACTTCAGCAAAGTCTCAGGATACAAAATCAATGTACAAAAATCACAAGCATTCTTATACACCAATAACAGACAAACAGAGAGCCAAATCATGAGTGAACTCCCATTCACAATTGCTTCAAAGAGAATAAAATACTTAGGAATCCAACTTACAAGGGACGTGAAGGACCTCTTCAAGGAGAACTACAAACCACTGCTCGATGAAATAAAAGAGGATACAAAGAAATGGAAGAACATTCCATGCTCATGGGTAGGAAGAATCAATATCGTGAAAATGGCCATACTGCCCAAGGTAATTTATAGATTCAATGCCATCCCCATCAAGCTACCCATGACTTTCTTCACAGAACTGGAAAAAACTACTTTAAAGTTCATATGGAACCAAAAAAGAGCCCGCATCGCCAAGTCAATCCTAAGCCAAAAGAACAAAGCTGGAGGCATCACGCTACCTGACTTCAAACTATACTACAAGGCTACAGTAACCAAAACAGCATGGTACTGGTACCAAAACAGAGAGATAGATCAATGGAACAGAACAGAGCCCTCAGAAATAACGCCGCATATCTACAACTATCTGATCTTTGACAAACCTGAGAAAAACAAGCAATGGGGAAAGGATTCCCTATTTAATAAATGGTGCTGGGAAAACTGGCTAGCCATATGTAGAAAGCTGAAACTGGATCCCTTCCTTACACCTTATACAAAAATTAATTCAAGATGGATTAAAGACTTAAACGTTAGACCTAAAACCATAAAAACCCTAGAAGAAAACCTAGGCATTACCATTCAGGACATAGGCATGGGCAAGGATTTCATGTCTAAAACACCAAAAGCAATGGCAACAAAAGCCAAAATTGACAAATGTGATCTAATCAAACTAAAGAGCTTCTGCACAGCAAAAGAAACTACCATCAGAGTGAACAGGCAACCTACAAAATGGGAGAAAATTTTCGCAACCTACTCATCTGACAAAAGGCTAATATCCAGAATCTACAATGAACTCCAACAAATTTACAAGAAAAAAACAAACAACCCCATCAAAAAGTGGGCAAAGGATATGAACAGACACTTCTCAAAAGAAGACATTTATGCAGCCAAAAGACACATGAAAAAATGCTCATCATCACTGGCCATCAGAGAAATGCAAATCAAAACCACAATGAGATACCATCTCACACCAGTTAGAATGGCAATCATTAAAAAATCAGGAAACAACAGGTGCTGGAGAGGATGTGGAGAAATAGGAACACTTTTACACTGTTGGTGGGACTGTAAACTAGTTCAACCATTGTGGAAGTCAGTGTGGCGATTCCTCAGGGATCTAGAACTAGAAATACCATTTGACCCAGCCATCCCATTACTGGCTGTATACCCAAAGGACTATAAATCCTGCTTCTATAAAGACACATGCACACGTATGTTTACTGTGTCACTATTCACAATAGCAAAGACTTGGAACCAACCCAAATGTCCAACAATGATAGACTGGATTAAGAAAATGTGGCACATATACACCATGGAATACTATCCAGCCATAAAAAATGATGAGTTCATGTCCTTTGTAGGGACATGGATGAAATTGGAAATCATCATTCTCAGTAAACTATCGCAAGGACAAAAAACCAAACACTGCATGTTCTCACTCATAGATGGGAATTGAACAATGAGAACACATGGACACAGGAAGGGGAACATCACACTCTGGGAACTGTTGTGGGGTGGGGGGAGGGGGGAGGGATAGCCTTAGGAGATATACCTAATGCTAAATGACGAGTTAATGGGTGCAGCACACCAGCATGGCACATGTATACATATGTAACTAACCTGCACATTGTGCACATGTACCCTAAAACTTAAAGTATAATAATAATTAAAAAAAAAGTTAAACATAAAAAAAAAATTCTGTTTATGTGGTGTATCACATTTATTGGCTTGCATATATTAAGCCATCCCTGCATTTGAAACCCACTTGATCATGGTGGATTATCTTTTTGATATGTTGTTGGGTTTGATTAGCTAGTATTTTATTAAAGATTTTTGCATCTATGTTCATTAGGGGTATTGGTCTGTAGTTTTCTTTTTTTGCTATGTCCTTTCCTGGTTTGGTATTAGGGTAACACTGGCTTCCTAGAATGATTTAGGGAGGATTTCCCATTTTTCGATTTTGTGGAATCATGTCAATAAGATTGGTATCATTTCTTCTTTGAATGTCTGGTAGAATTCAGCTGTGAATCCATTTGGTCCTGGAGTTTTTTGGTTGGTAATTTTTTTATTACCATTTTAATCTCACTTTTTGTTATTGGTCTGTTCAGGGTTTTTAATTCTTCCTGATTTAAGCTAGGAGGGTTGTATCTTTCCAGGAATTCATCCATCTCCTCTAGGTTTTCCAGTTTATGCATGTAAAGGTGTTCACAGTAGCCTTGAATGATCTTTTGTATTTCTGTGGTGTTGGTTGTCATATCTCCCATTTCATTTCTAATTGAGCTTATTTGAATCTTCTTTCTTCTTTTCTTGGTTAATCTTGCTAAAGGTCTATCAATTTTATTCATCTTTTCAAAGAACCAGTTTTTTGTGTTATTTATCTCTTGTATTTCTTTTTGTTTGTTTCAATTTCATTTAGCTCTGCCCTGATCATTGTTATTTCCTTTCCTCTGCTGGGTTTGGATTTGGTTTGTTCTTGTTTCTCTAGTTCTCTGAGGTGTAACTTTAGATGGTCTATTTATGCTCTTTCAGGCTTTTTGATGTAGGTATTTAAGACTATGTTTCCTCTTAGGAGTGCCTTAGCTGTATCCCAGAAGTTTTGATAAATGGTGTCACTATTATCATTCCATTCAAAGAATTTTTAAATTTGTCTCTTGATTTCATTGTTGACCCAGTGATCATTCAGGAGCAGGTTATTTAATTTTCATGTATTTGTGTGGTTTTGAAAGTTCCTTTTGGGGTTGATTTTCAGTTTTATTCCACTGTGTTTTGAAAGGGTACTTGATATAATTTCAATTTTCTTAAATTTATTGAGACTTGTTTTGTGGCCTATCATATGGTCTATTTTGGAGAAAGTTCCATGCACTTATGAAGAGTACATATTTTCTGCAGTTGTTGGGTAGAATGTTCTGTAAATATTTGTTAAGTCCATTTGTTCCAGGGTATAGTTTAAATTCATTGTTTCTTTGTTAAATTTCTGTCTTGATGACCGTGTAGTACTGTCAGTGGAGTACTAAAGTCCCCCACTATTATTGTGTTGCTTTCTATCTCATTTCTTATGTCTAGTAGTAATTGTTTTATAAACTTGGGAGTTCCAGTTTTAGGTGCATATGTATTTAGGATAGTGATATTTCCCATTGGACAAAGCCTTTTAACATTCCATAAAGTCCCTCTTGTTCTTTTTTAACCACTGTTGCTTTAAGGTTTGTTTTGTCTAACTTAGGAACAGTGACTCCTGCTCACTTTTGGTGTCCATTTGCATGGAATGTCTTTTTCCACCGCTTTACCTTAAGTTTATGTGAGTCCTTATGTGTTAGGTGAGTCTCTTGAAGATATCAGAGAGTTGGTTGGTCAATTCTTATCCATCCTGAAATTCTGTATCTTTCAAGTGGAACATTTAGGCCATTTACATTCAATGTTAATTTTGAGATGTGAGGTACTATTCTATTCATTGCGCTATTTGTTGCCTGTATAGCTTGTGGTTTTTGTTATTGTTGTTGTATTTTTGTTTTATAGGTCCTGTGGGATGTTTGCTTTAAAGAGGTTCTGTTTTGATGTGTTTCCAGGACTTGTTTCAAGAATTTGAGCTTCTTTTAGCATTTCTTGTAGTGCTGGCTTTGTAGTGGTGAATTCTCTCAACATTTGTTTGTCTGAAAAAGACTGTATCTTTCCTTTGTTTATTTGTTTTGCTGGTTATGAAATTCTTGGCTGATAATTGCTTGTTCAAGGTGGCTCAAGATAAAGCCCCAATCCCTTCTAGCTTGTAGAGTTTCTACTGAGAAATCTACTGTTAATATGATAGGTTTTTCCCTTATAGGTTATCTGGTGCTTTTGCCTCAAAGCTCTTAAGATTTTTTCCTTCATCTCGACTTTAGATAACCTGATGACAATGTGCCCGGGTGATGATCTTTTTGTGATGAATTTCCCAGGTGTTCTTTGGGCTTCTTGTATTTGGATGTCTAGGTCTTTAGCAAGGCCAGGGAAGTTTTCTTCAATTATTTCCATAATATGTTTTCCATACTTTTATATTTCTCTTCTTCCTCAGGAACACCAGGTGATGGTGCAGATTGAGCTGTAGACTCACCTAGACAAATACCCCCTTGGGGTTCACTTCCTACCCAAGAAGCTGGATGAGGCAGTGGCTGAAGTCCACCTGCACAGGCTAAATGTGAAGTTGACCAAGCTGACTGAGAAGCAGGCCCAGTACCTGGGCATGTCCTGTGATGGCCCCTTCAAACTGGATGACTACCACTACTGAGAACCAGGCCTGCCCTTCACCTACCAGCTGCTGTCCTTGCCCTGGCCCTGCCTCCCCTAAGAGCAAATGACACCAACTTTGTGATTGTTTTCAGTGTCCCCCATTGACTCCCTGGGGCTGGTCACTTAGGTTTTGGCCTCTACTGCATCCCTCATACTGTTGCAAGTGTGGCAGGGGGAATTGAAAAGCCCCCCCCCCCTCAAGCTCTGGTCATGATGAAGGTACAAGGGAGACATCCACAGGGAACCATGAGCTCAGTGGTCTTGGAATTGCTCACTAAGTCAGTCCTTCCTTAGCCTGGAAGTTGGTCATGGAGTCACAAAGCCCATGTACTTTACCATCTAGGCCTTCACCTGGTCTGTGGACTTACACCCGTGTGCTTGGTTTACTGGTTCAGTAGTTCCTCAGACCATGACAAATGGAAGGAGCTATACTGAAGAACAATGAGGAACTCTTTGAATTTTCCTGAGCACGTGACTTACTGCTGGGCCTTCCCTTAAACATCAGAACAATGAGATTTGTCCCTATTTTACAGGGGTTAGAATAGACTATTAAGGGACAACTGAGAAAGGACAGAGAAGTGACAGCCAGAGGTTGAGAGGGGCCATAAAAACATACAATCAGACATATATCTGCTACCACTTTGTAGCAAGATGGTTCCTATCATAACTCTGGGTCAAAAAGATAGTAATTTGGTTTATAATGTTGAAAGAAAGCAGAAAGGTGGGTAAGTAAAAATATTACTCCCTAAAAGAAAAAAAGAAATGATATTTCTCCTTCTGAGAAATGTTTATTCAGATCCTTTGACCACTTTTAAATCAGATTATTATTATTATTGTTGTTGTTATTTGAATTCCTTTTATATTCTGAATATTAGTCCCCTGTAGAATGAGTGGTTTGCAAATATTTTCTTCCATTCTACAGATTGTCTCTTCACTCTATTGATTATGTTCTTTGCTGTGCAGAAAGTTTTTAGTTTGATACAGGCTATTTGTCTATTTTTGCTTTTGTTGCTTGTGCTTTTGAAGTCTTACTGATAAAATCATTGCCTAGGCCAATGTTGTCATCTATTTCCCCTATTATTTTTTTTCTAGTAGTTTTGGGTCTTGCTTTTAAGTCTTTAGTCCATTTTGAGTTAATTTTTGTATATGGTAAGAAGTAGGGGTCTCATTTCATTCTTCTTTATAGAGATATTCAGTTTTCCCAGCACTGCTTATTGAAGAGGCTGTCCGTTCCCCAATGTATATTCTTGGCACCTTTCTTAAAAATAAGTTGGCTATAAATGCATAGATTTATTTCTGGATTTTCCATTCTGTTTCATTGACCTTTATGTATCCATTTTTATACAAGTACCATGTTGTTTTGGTTACTACAGCTTTATAGTATATTTCCAAGTCAGGTGGTGTGATGCTACAACTTTGTTCTTTTTACTCAGTATTGCTTTGGCTATTCAAGATCTTTTGTGGTTTCATACAAATTTTAAGATTGTGTTTTCTATTTCTGTGTGGAATGCCATTTGTATTTTTCAATCTGTAGGTTGTTTTGGGTAGCGTAGACATTTTAACAATATCAATTCTTCCAATTTAGGAGTGTAGAATCCCTTTTCATTTTGTGTGTGTATGTCCTTTTCAATTTCTTTCATTGCTTTGTAGTTTTCATTGTGGAGCTCTTCCACCTCCTAGGTTAAATTTGTTCCTAGGTATTTTATTTCTTTTGTAGTTATTGTAAATGAGAGTGCTTTCTTGATTTTTTCATCTAGTTAGTTATTGGCTGTATAAAAATGCTACTGATTTTTGTATGTTGATTTTGTATCCAGCAACTTTACTGAATTTATCAGTTCTAAGCGTTTTTTTTTGCAGAGTTCTTAGTTTTTTTCTTTTTATATACAAGATCACATTATCTGCAAAGAGGGACAATTTGATTTCTTCTTTTCCAGTTTGTGTGCCCTTTATTTCTTTTGGTTTTTTTGAGACAGAGTCTCACTTTGTTGCCTAGGCTGGAATGCAGTGGTGTGATCTCAGCTCACCACAACCTCTGCCTCCTGGGTTCAAGTGATTCTCCTGCCTCAGCCTCCCGAGTAGCTGGGATTACAGGTGTGTACCACCATGCCCAGCTAATTTTTGTATTTTTAGTAGAGACGGGGTTTCACCATGTTGGTCAGGCTGGTCTTGAACTCCTGACCTCGTGATCCACCCACCTCTGCCTCCCAAAGTGCTGGGATTACAGGCGTGAGCCACCGCGCCCGGCCTTCTCTTGCCTGATTAGCTAGAACTTTCAGTAGTATGTTGAATAAGAATGGTGAAAGTGGGTATTCTTGTCTTGTTCCAGTTCTTAGAGAAAAAGCTTTTTCCTGTTCAATATCATGTTAGTTGTTGATTTGTCATATATAGACATTGTATTGGGGTGTGTTCCTTCTGTATCATATTTGTTTAGAGTTTTTATCATGAAGAAATGTTGAATTTTATCAGATGTTTTTTCTGTGTTTATTGAGATGATCATATGGGTTGTTTTTCATTCTGTTGATGTGATATATCACATTTATTGATTTGCATATGTTGATCCATTCCTGTATGATGGATATCAGCCTGTAGTTTTCTTTGGTGTGTGTGTGTGTGTGTATGTGTGTGTCCTTTTCTGGTTTTGGTATCAGTGTAATGCTGACTTCGTAGAATGAGTTAGTAAAGATTTTTTTCTCATCAGTTTTTTGAAATAGTTGGAGAAGAATTGCATCAGTTTTTCCTTAAAATTTGGTAGAATTGAACAGTGAAGCCATTCAGTCCTGAGTTCTTTGATGGGATTTCTTTTTTAGAAAATAGAGACAGGATCTTGCTCTGTCATCCAGGCTGGAATGCAGTGGCATGATTGTAGCTCCTGGCAGCCTTGAACTTCTGGGCTCAAGCGATCCTCCCACTTCAGCCTTGATGGAAAACTTTTAATTACTGCTTTGATCTCATTACTTATTGTCAGTCTGTTCTAGCTTCCTGTTTCATCATGGTTAAATTTTGGAAGCTTACATGTGTCCAAAAATCTATCCATTTCTTCTAGGCCTTTCAATTTGTTGGCATGTAGTTGTTCATAATAGTCTCCAATGATCATTTGTAGTTCTATGGTATCAGTTGTAATGTCTCTTTTTTGTTTCTGTTTTTATTTACTTGGTTCTTCTATTTCTTTTCTTTTTTTTTTAGAGATGGGGTCTCACTGTCGTTCTGGAGTGTAGTGGTTCAATCATCTCTCACTGCAGCCTTGAACCCCTAGGCTCAAAGGATCCTCCCACCTCAGCCTCCTGAATAGCTGGGACTAGAGGCATGAGCCACTATGTCTTGCTGATTAAAAATTGTTTTTGCAAAGTTGGATGTCTCACTTTACTGCCTAAGCTGGTCTTGAAATCCTGGCTTCAAGCAATCCTTTCACTTTGGCCTCCCAAAATGCTGGGATTACAGGCATGAGTCAATATGCCCAGTCTCTTTTCTTTCTTAGTTACTCTAGAAAATGGCTTGTTGATTTTGTTATTTCAAAAAAATAAATGTTTTATTTTGTTGTATTGTTTGTTTTTGTCTCTATTTTGTTTAGTTCTACTCTGATCCTTATTATTTATTTCCTACTACTCATATTTGGATTGGTTGGTTCTTCCTTTTCTAGTTCCTTGCGGTGAATTGTTAGATTGTTTAATTGAAATCTTTTTACTTTTTTGATGTGTTTTTACAGATTCCAAAAATTTTTTTTATGTTGATTTCTAGTTTTATTCCTTTGTGATCTGAGAAGATACTTGATATGGTTTTGATTTTTAAAAAGTATTGAGTTTTTTTTTTTTGTGGCCTAACCTGTGGTCTATCCTGGAGAATGTTCTATGTGCTGAGAAGAATGTGTATTTTGCAGATGTTGGATAAAAAGTTCTGTTAATGTCTGTTAGGTGCATTTGGTCTATGGTGTAGTTTAGATCTGATTTTTTTTTGTTGACTTTCTGCTTAATCTTTACAGTGATGAAAGTGAAGTTTATTTTGCCACAGTTGAGGATGCATACCCATGACACAGCCTCAGGAGGTCCTGACAACATGTGCCCAAGGTGGCACAGTTTGGTTTTATACATTTTAGGGAGACATGAGACATCATTCAGCATATGTAAGATGAAACATTGGTTTGGTCTGAAAAGGCGGGACATCTCAAATCAGGGAGGGACCCTCCAGGTCATAGGCAGATAAGAGACAAATGGTTGCATTCTTTTGAGTTTCTGATTAGCCTCTTAAAAGGAGGCAATCTGATATGCATTTATCTCAGTGAGCAGAGGGTGACTTTGAATTGAATGGAAGGCAGGTTTGCCCTAAGCAGTTCTCAGCTTTACTTTTCTCTTTAGCTTAGTGATTTTGCAGCCTCAAGATTTATTTTCCTTTCACATTTTCTCCTTTTTATTTCTCAAAATCTTTTGGAGAAAGCATATTAGAAGAAAATTAGTCTTTGTCCTCAGGTTTTATCTGATCTCTCATGGCTAGGATGGTTTATTCCTAGATGGGTAGGTCCTGAGTTATTAGGAAAATTCATTTTTGGCAGATTGTGAAGTCTCATGTTCTATGAAGGGAAAATAGGGAGAGAAAGGGAGAAAAGCAACAATAACAAAAGAACAATCCTGGAGAATTGATATAGACCACATTACTCTGAAGTCTATATGTTAGTAGGCAGGTATGAAAGTGGGTTATGTATGTAAATAGGTTGCTGTTATTTTCTTCTAAAGTTTAAGTTGTCTAGCTTCAGTTCACAGGGCTTTATGAAAGTACAGCTTAGTTTTCAATGACTCCAAATTAGGAAAAATGGGGGAAAAAGAAGAAAAAAAACTGAAAACATTTTGAAGACTTATAGCCCAGAAACATTAGAATTCAGTCCTAATTGTAGAAAATAATAAAAATGGAAAAACATTAGGCAAGACTAGACTCTAACAACAGTTGTACTATAGTTTTTGAAATAGAATTTTTCTCTCTCCAGTTTCCCACTTTTACTAAAGACAAATCATGGTAGGATTAATTTGCTTTATTATACTTGGCCTAATTATGTGTATAAAGTGCAGAAAGAATAATTTTTTTACACAGGCTTTTAAATTGGCTTTGATGGAACTTTGTTCTATAGAAGGAGTCTCAAATAAGACTTTTTTAAAGCCAAGCCCAGCCATGGGTTTGTAGCATCAAGTACCTATGAGTTGGGTGAATTCTTTTACTCTTGAGATTCCAAGATAAACTTGGGGCTCCTGGGCCTGTCAGAAAGTGACATGCTTTACTTACCACACATCAGGAATCCTGTACAGGGACTGTGTAGACAAGGTATGAGGCCAGTTTTCCCAAGTAGCTTTTATTGGCTCCATAAGTCAAGTTTGATTCCTTAAAGGAAAGCACACCATTCCAGCCAAAGCCTTCATAAAATAACCAGTTTCCCTTATTGTGCCCTGTTATAAATAAAAACAGATTCTTATTGAACTTATGCAAATAACTGTATTGACATGAGTTAAAGATACTCACAAATAGTTTTCAAATTCTGGATAAATCAGGTAGAGAGAAACAAATATATTCTAAATTTTGTTCATAGGAGTATATTAAATTGTTAAAAGCTGTCAGTAGCTCAAAAGAAAAGTTTATTTGCCACCGAAAAAACAAAACAAAGAATCAGAAACATTTTAAGCATAAGTGAAAAAGATTACTTTAGTCTTCTATTAGTTCACCCCATGTAGTTAATTCCTGTTCTGCTTGATAGTCATGAACATTTCAGTTCTCCATAAGTCCTAAAAGTTTTTCTTCTATTCCAATGTCACAATATCCAAAGTTATCAGAAACTTGTATTCAAGAGTACCTGTTAGAATTTTATAGCTGATTAGAAAACTACCTTTTAAAGAGGACCAAAACAAGACAATTGTCCATGGATGACAAAATGTTTTAGGGCAACCATAGTCAAAGACTATAGTCATAGTCATAGTCAATAGACAGGGAAAGTTGTTACCTTTGTGGCACATGATAATTTAACATAATTATAATTATTACTAATAATGTACACTAATTCATATGAGAATTACAGGAGTTTCCCATAATTTTGGAATACATACCAATAACATATTTCTACAAACATAGGCCAAAGAAATTTAAACACCATTTTATATTTGACAATGTTTCATATATTTTATTTATATATATAATGCTTATATAATATATATATAATATATATATATACAAAACGTTTATTCCAAATAAGCAAATTATGTCATTTTTGAACTTTAAGGAACCTAATATCTTAAAGGATTAAGTCAGAAAAAGACATAATTTATATCTTTATTTTGGAAAGTTTGTCAAATATCAAAGATTTAAAACATTTGACATTACAGGTCATTGTAAAATAAGTCATTCATTTGACCAAAGTGATAACTCAAGGATTTCAAAAAAAGGTGAAAATCTTCATTCTTTGAGAGAGGAGACTCAATTTCCCAAACAGTAAGCCCTAATAAAAACAACATTAAGCCAATTAAATTTGTTTCTCAAAATTTTATAAACAATCTATAAAATTTTAGTCTTGATCATAAGATATAACTTCCATAAGTCTTTTATAACATTTATAACCTTTATTAAAGAGTCAGTTAATGCTTCAAGAAAACCTTTGTTATCTGACACAGGGGCCCATATGTCGGTCTTGCATCAGTGTGACTTTGACATTAAGGATTAATTTATAGAAAAACTAAACTTGTTTTATCTTTCAAATCACCCCTTACAATCTCACATGCCTGTCTCTTCCATGATAGCCCCTGGGCCTTAAGGAGCTGAATAGCTTTAATTTCTGGCCCTATGTCTCTGGATTGCAGTTTATTTTGATTGGCTTCTTTTACCAGGCCTGAAGATGAGGCTTTAATTCCTGTCAGTGTTTAAGATTTAGCAGAACTTGGTGTCCTTTTTAGACCCAGGAGTCAAAGCTCTGTAACTCAATGTCACAATGACTCTAAAAGCCCATACGGAAAGATACACAAATGTAATAACCTTAAATAAAAAAATTCTTTTAATTTTGGTTTTTCCCCTAAGCAAACAAAAACTTAATAATAATAATAATAGCATAGAAATTGCTTTCACAAACCCTAAAATCTGTTATGACAATTACCAAAAGGCAAAAGAAAAGACCTGCTGTACTGCATACAGTATTCTGTTGGAAGAAAACATTTCCTTTAGACCTTTAAGAAAACATTGTTAGCATCAGGCCTCAACAAACAGAACTTGAGGAAAAGAATTTATATAAGCTGAAAAATGAGCTGGAGAGCATTACTATTTCTCACCCTTTAAAACTGCAGAGAAAACCAAAATGGCAAGATGCAATAAAATTTGAACTTTTGGTTAAAAAAATTAAATTCTTTCATAATTGAGAGTAAATCAATCCCCTAAGAAAATTTTATCATTCTAACTAATTAGTGTGTGTTTCCTTTTTTTACTTCAAGCCCAATCTCTAGATAGACTATCATAATTTTATTTTAATTAATAGACAACTTGATCATATAACAGTTTTTTTTAAGTAAATCCTCTTACTGTCACTTATGCAGACCATTCACGACATGCTTGAACGTTCAAATTCTTTTTTTTTTTTTTTTTTTTTTTCTCCTGAATATCCCTCTTCCTTAAACAACCAGTCATTTTATTCTAGGACTAAATATACCATACAAGATTCTTTCTCATATAAAATTATTTCTCTTTAAGCTTCTTACCAAAAAATACGCCCAAAGGGGTGAATGGTGCCTTTGTTCTGAATTCTTTAAAGGGGTTCAAGTCACTAGAAGTCTTCTCTAGATTTTGTAGTACTGCATATGGCAAAGGGGGAAGGAGGTATAGTGTGAAAGAAAAGTGAATGAAAAAATATTTGTTTTCTAAGACAGGAAGCAAGCTCAGAAACCAAGCACGTGTTTGTTTTTTTCCCTTCCTGTGCAGTGGAGAGGAATTTTAGCCAAATTAGAGAGGCTTTGTTACCCAAAATTTGAAATTCTCACTCAGATTTGACCAAATCTGATGGAAGAAAGTCTGGAAAAAACAATAAAAAAACCCAACAATATGATTACTGGGCACTCTAATGGTAAAGAGAAATTAGGAACAGCTGGTTGTTAACTTACTTAGGGATGGGTCTCAGGCTGAAGACAGCCTCTACCATCCTAGAGTCAGGAATAAAACTCAAACTCATCTTCCCTGTTGGGAGCGAGCTCCAACTCCATAGAGGAATTACCTGCCTTCCATCATCATGGAAGCAAGAAATCTTGCCTTCCTTGTTGGAAGCAAGTAAAACTTCAAAAAATGGAGTTGTACGGCAAAATAAACTTCAGATCTTAACCAAATTTTGGGAGATCAGGTATTCTCTGTGAAGCAGTATTGTTTGTCTGGGGTAATACCTGAGGTTTGTTGCCTGACACCAAGGAAATCAAGGACACAAACACACCAGAGTGAAGTTAAGTGTGGAAGTTTAATAGGCTAGAGAAAGAAAAAAAACTCTCTCTCCAGAGAGAGAAGGGGTTCCAAGTGGGTCTTCTGGTTTCGTGATGAAATGCATGTGGTTTTATGGATTAGCTTGAGGAGGCATAGTGTGATTTACACAGGAGACGAGAGATTGGGAGGAGCAGGTGTGCCATTTACATAGCACACAAAGAAGCTGGCAGCCCCATCCTAATCTTTTATTATGCAGATGGGTCCCCTACCTGGCTGGCACCATGTTGTCTGTTCCTTTACTGTACATGTGATTGAAAGAGAAAAGGGAAGATGGAGCCTCCATGTTGAACATGCCTGGCCCCCAGGTAGCCTTTTCCTATTGGCACAACTGCCAGCACTCACCCATGCAAGCTTCTAGCTTGCTTTTCCATGTCTGCAGCTTGATTTTTCAGGCTGCTCTTTGTTAGAAAAGAAATGATTTGGGGTCTGCTTTTTATTAAAAGCAAAACCTTGCTAAGGACTCTCTTACCCTCATTAACTGCCTAAATAATTTCTTTCTAGCTCCTGTATCATCTGGAGGGGGTGCTCCCAGACCTCAGCAAATTGTCCTATTGGTTTGAGCCATAAAGTTAGCTCATGCGGGTACCAAGCACCAATAGGAGATTTTTCAAAGGTCAAGGGGCATCTCCATTCAGAATCCCTCCACAGTTAACAAAATGTGAATCCTGTATATCTGAGATAGGTCTCAGTTAATTTAAAAAGTTCATTTTGCCAAGGTTGAGGATGCACACAAAGGACATAGCCTCAGGTTGTCCTGAGGACATGTGCCCAAGGCGCTCAGAGCGCAGTTTGGTTTTATACATTTTAGGGAGACATGAGACATCAATCAACATATGTAAGATGAACATTGGTTCAGTCTGGAAAGACAGGACAACTCGAAGCAAAGGCAGGACAACTCGAAGCAGGGAGGGAACTCCCAGGTCATAGGTAGATAAGAGACAAATGGTTACATTCTTTTGAGTTTCTGACTAGCCCCTCCAAAGACCAAATGCAATCAGATATGCATTTATCTCAGTGAGCAGAGGGGTGACTGAATAGAATAGGAGGCAGGTTTGCCCTAAGCAGTTCCCAGCTTGACTTTTCCCTTTAGCTTAGTGATTTTGGGGCCCCAAGATTTATTTTCCTTTCACAAAGTCTCCAACTATTATTACATTAGGGGTCTATCTCTCCCTTTAGATCTAATTGTATTTGCTTTACATTGGTGCTCCAGTGTTGGGTGCATATATATTTATAATTGTTATACCTTCTTGCTAAATTTATTTCTTCATCATTATTTAATGATTTTCTTTGTCTATTTTTATGTTTTTTGACTTAAAGTCTATTTTGTCTGACATAAATAGAGCTATTCTTGGATGCTTTTGATTTCCATTTGCATGGAATATTATTTTCCATCCCTTTACTGTCAGTCTTCATCCCATTGGTGGCATTCATGGGTGCTGGTGTTGGTGGTAGCAGGCTCTGGGCAGGCCATTCCTTTAGCCCTTGGGCAGTATGTGCAGGTGTGAGATGACACTACCACTAGAGTGGATGTGTCCTGCAGCAGAAGCAGCAAAAGCCCAGGCAGGTGGCTTTCAGGGTCTGGGGAGCACACACACCAGTCTTCTGGCTCCACAGGGTATAAGGGGCTGCATGGGCTCAGGTGCCAGGGTCACAGCTGCACAGCTATAACAGATCTCAGTTGTGTCTTTATGCAGCAACACTCTGGGTACCTGTGGTGGGATGTGGATGAGACCCCAGGGATGGATGTGGAGATGAAGGAGCAATTGGGCCCCTGGACAGTATGTACTCTGGTGATGGCTCCACTCCCAAAATGGTGCCATGCTGCAGCCCTGGGTCCTGGGACATTGGGGGAATCCAGCATAAATTCTCTCTCTGGAGTAGTAAAGTCATGTGGACTCTAGGCAGTACCCTATACTAGACTAAGGGACTGTGAGGGCTGAGGGCTCTCCTGTAGCTATGACTGCAGGTGTCTGGTGGAAATATAGACTTCTGGGGACCTCCTGCTAACCTTTTCTCCGCAATGGGGAGGGAGTCCCTCCTGGCTCCAAGCACATCTCGGTAGGCTGCATTGCTTACCTCTCTATGCTGTCATCCTGAGTTTTTGTGCCTCAAAGTTTCTTTTCTTTGAATTTGAACACTATCTGCTGAATTCCAGTGTTCTTCCTTAGACATTCTAGTCAATGTGTGTTTATCAATTTGTTACTTTGGTCCTTCTTTGTGGAGAAGGTGAGTGCTAGGCATCTCTAGCCATTTGATCTCTCTGTCTTCTTTTGAGCTACTGACTCTTAAAAAACCTTTTTATTGTGGCAAAATATACATAGCATAAAATTTGCCATTGAAACCATTTTCAAGTGTATAACTTAGTGTCATTAAGTACATTCACCACGTTGTGTAACCACCTCTACTATTCATCTCTGAAACATTTTCACAATCTCAAACACAAACTCTACACATTAAATAATTGTGCTTATGCTTAATTTTCACTCAACTATGTACATTTTTGATTCCCTATTTATATCTCCCTATTTTATCTTTATAAGATACAAAGATATAAATGAAGAGCAGCATGAAATTGCATCAACATTCAAGTTTGTTGTGTTCTTTTTCCAGCTTTTCTTCTACTGCCCTATATAATTATCATTCTCTTTAAAATACATACGCTATTGCAACTGGATTCATTTTTAGAAACTGGTTTTCAAACAAAAGCTTAAAATCTCCATAACCGGCTGTGGATATTGCTGCCGTTGCTGGTTTTGAAACTACATTTTCTCGTAACCTCTTGTGAAATTTCTTCAGGACACTAGGCAGATGAAGCAAGCTTAACTCTGTCAGTAGGATGAAATATGTAGTTTTAAACTTCCCTAATTGTTTTAAACTTTTTTAAACATTCCTAAATAAAATAAACTTCCCTAAATAAGAGAAAACTTCCCTAAATAAGATTGTTTTAAACTTCCCTAAATAAGATAAAAACCACCCACCACAAAACTCAGTGTACAATGTGACCTAAACTAATAATTCTCATGTTTTTGCCTCTCATCATGTGGGGACTACAGGTCTTCATGAACACTGGCACTTCTGAGTACAAAGAATAGAATCAGCAAAGGAGAGTTATCTGGACCTCAGTTTCATCTAATTGTTGTTGTATTATTTTAAGGTGTTGCTTTTCTTAAATAGCTTAAAAAGGGAAAAGATTGTGTTTAGCCATTAAAAGTAAAAAGGAAAGGTAACAAAAGACTGTTAACGTTTCCAAAGAAAATATACAAATGGCCAGAAATCCCATGAAAATATGCTCAACATCATTAGCCACCACGGAAATGCAAATCAAAACCACAATGAGATTAGCCAGGAATGGTGGCGTGTGCCTGTAGGCCCAGCTATTTGGGAGGCTGAGGCAGGAGGACCGCTTGAACCCAAGAGATTGAGGTTACAGTGAGCTGATTGCACCACTGCACTCCAGCTTGGGTGACAGAGTGAGACCCTGTCTTAAAAAAAAAAAAAAACCCACAACGAGATGATACTTCATACCTCACAGCCCAAGGTTGCTCACAGTCCCTAAGTGCAGTAGAGGGTGCTGCCTAGAGTCCATATGACTTTATTATTCCAGAGAAAGAATTTATGCTGGGTTCCCCCAGTGGCCCAGGACCCAGGTTGCTGCAGCATGGCACGTTCAGGAATGGGACTGGAGCCACCACCAGAGCACATCTTGTCCTGGGGCCCAATACTGGGATGGCTACAAGGAAAAAGACAATAACAAATGCTGGTGAGGGTGTGGAGAAATGCAAAACCCCCTGCACACTAATGGAAATATAAAATAGTGCAGCTACTTTGTAAAACACTGGCAATTTTACAAAAAGTTAAACAGAGCTACCATCTTATTCAGAAGTTCCACTTCTAGGTATATACCCCAGATATCTGAAAACATGTAAACGCAAAAACTTGTACACAAACGTTTATGAAAACAACATAACAACATTCATAATTTTTTTGTCGACATATTGAATTAGGGCCCACACTAATAACCTCACTGTAACTTAATTACCCTGTAAAGACCCTATCTCCAAATGAGGCAGGAGAATAGGGTCTGGGGGCAGGAGAATAAATAGGGTCTGGAGGCAGGGAACTTAAGGCCAATTCATGCCAAATCAAGGAAAATCTCCAAGGTCTAGAGGCAAGGAATCTGAGGCCAATTTGTGCTAACTTCCTAAAAGAGAAAACACCAAGGTCTGGGGGCAGGGAATATGAGGCCGATTCGTGATAATTTCATAAAGCTGGATCAAAAGGAAAACACCTGTGTCTGGGGGCAGGGACCCTAAGGCCAATTAACTTAAACTTCCTACAGCTAAACCCAAAGGAAAAACCCCATCTTCCCACACCGATAACAAAGGCTCAAAGGCTACTCTCCTTACCACCTCCCCACTCCACCAAGGCTCACAGCGAAAGGGAGAGTGCCTTGAACTGCCTGAGGGCCAAGCAGGGACCATCCCTGCATCTGCACAGGTTGCCAGTTCACCTCAGCCTCAGCCACAGACCAAATCCTTCATCCAGATAAGGGGTTACCCATAGGAACCTCAAAAGAAGTACTTGAAGCCCAGAAAACCTTGTAACTGGGTCCTTGAGTGGCTTGCTGGGACCCGCTCCCACCCTGCGGAGTGCTTTCTCACTTTAATCCCTGCGTTTGCTACTTCATTCCTGTGTTTCATTCCTTTGTTACTTTGTGCATTTTGTCCAATTCTTTGTTCAAAACGCCAAGGACCCAGACAACTCACTCAAGACCCTCCTTCCAGTAACACAAGCACAGTCACATCTGGAGGTACTGGGGGTTAGGTCTTCAATATATACATTTTTAGGGGCAACATTCAGTCATAACAACCAATAATGCTTAGTTTACATGCTTCTGTTAGTCTATCCACATGTGTAAAAGTTGGGTACATGAGCTGCCGAATATATTCTATTTCTACACAACAATCAGGAATGTTTAGAGGAGGTGAAAATTCAAAGACTGGGGACACCCAATTGGTGAAACTTCAGGTCAGAAAATGGAATTTTGAAAGTGCTTTTTTGTGCTGAGTTGGGAACCAGTGACTGAGGAGAAGTTGCAGAATAGTTGCCTATTGCTTTACGTTTGGGAGGGTGATAATGAATAAAAAACAAGCCTGTAATCTCTTGTCCGCACACATTTCTAGGGACAGAAGATGCTCCAGCATTTGAGGAGATGAGGAGTGTGGCCGATTCTACATGACCTGTTCATCTCAGTAGTTCTAGCTGAAATAAAAACTTTATGTTGACTATGGCACATTGCCTCATTAGTCTTTGGGGTTTGACAGGTGATCTCTTTCTTTCTGTTTGTTGTTGTTGTTGTTGTTGTTGTTTTTTAAGAGATGGAGTTTCGCTCTTGTCCAGGCTGGAGTGCCGTGACGCGAACTGGGCTCACTGCAACCTCTGCCTCCCAGGTTCCAGCGATTCTCAGCCTCCTGAGTAGCTGGGATTACAGGCATCCGCCACCATGCCCAGCTAATTTTTTGACAGCTGATTTCTATTAAAAGTCTAAAATCAATAAATGTTGCCCCTAAAGTTGAAATCTATCATCACATAGTACTCCATGTTGTTTTCCATGTTTGAAGAGTTACATAGAAAGCCTCAAATAACAGAAAATTGCCATCTTAGATCAAGAATAAGAATCATTCACCAACAAAAATTAACAAGCACCAACTAAGTATCAGCATCACATGTGTTAAAGATGCCACCTCTTGCCTCCAAGGGCAGCCACCTTTGAGGCTTTCTGTACATAATGAGAACCTTGGTCTCCACAACCCCTTATGTTAACCTAGACACGCCTTTCTAGTGATTCCAGGTCTTTAGATAATAACATAACTCTTTCAACCAACGGCCAATCAGAAAATCTTTGAAGCCACCTGTGACCCGTGAGCCCCGTTTTGAGTTGTCCCACCATTTAGGACTGAACCAATGTATATGTCACATGTATTGATTGATGTCTTAGGTCTCCTTAAAATATGTAAAATGAAGCTGTAACCCACGCATCTTGGGCACGTGTTCTCAGGACCTTCTGAAGTTGCATCATGAGTCATGGCCCTCACATTTGACTCAGAATAAAATCTCTTCAAATATATATTTTTTGTCAACAAAAGGTATCTATAAATGAGGACTATTGGAACTGTTACACTAAGGAAAATATTACAAAGCTGTGTTATACAATGGGTGAAGGGGAGGGTCACTGTACCAGGAAACTAATTTATGGCTGTGGCTGTCTTTGAGAGGGAATTAGCACACACAAAGCAAGTTTAGATCATCAACAGAACAAACTTTTGAGAGAGATTATAGGAATCTTTTTATATGGAACTCTGAACATTATGGATGATGTCCTACTAGATTTTTTTTTTTTTTAAAGACAGGGTCTCATTCTGTTGCTTAGGCTGGGGTGCAGTGGTACAATCATAGCTTACTGTAAACTCAAATTCCTGGGCTCAAACGATCCTCCTGTTTCAGTCTCCCAAGTAGCTAGGATTTCAGGCACACGCCATGATGCCTGACTAATTTTTTATTTTTATGTTTTTGGTAGAGACAGGGTGTCTATGTTGCCCAGGCTGGTCTCAAACTCCTGGCCTCAAGTGATCCTCCTGCCTCGGCTTCCCAAAGCATTGGGATAACAGGTGTGAGCCACACTGCGCTTGGCCCTACAAGAAATTTGACAAAAATGCAGAACCAATCTTCTGTTGCCTCCTGCAGAAAAGAGTACGAAATATAATGTAGACCATTGCTCCAGGTAACTGAACATAATGCAGCGTGCTTGAGGGGCTTAAAGATGAAGGGAGGAACGATTTTCCCTGTCGTAATCTCAGGTAGAGGCTGTTCTTCGCTTTCCACAGACAGAGGCTGATGACCGCAGCTAATTTCTGGCTCCTCATTGCTCTGGCTCTTGGATCCTGAGACAGAGCAGGGACCCCTCTTAGGGGTCTCTGGGTCCCCCAGGCATGGACATAAAAGAAATTCTTGAGTACCTTCAAGGAAAATTCCAGGCACCTAGCTAGCTTAGAAAAGTAAATGAACAATTTGATAAGCAAGAAGGTAATAGTAGTTTAAAACAATAGCCAAAGAAACTAGAGCCAGAAGATGTTTGGCTCCCCATAGAAATTAAAGATAATATCTTAACATATGTTCCTGAGCTAGTTTTCAGAAACCTGGAGCCCCACAAAATGGAACTGCAGACACACAGACCTCAGATAAGGGAGAACTAAGGACTGAACTGTGATTGCCATTAGAAATTTCTTTCTGAGGGGCCTGGAGAAGGTCATACCCATGAGCCAGCACTAATATTCTTTTTTGTTTGATTTTTAAACAAAACTCTTTAACCATTGCAAATCAGAAAATCTTAGAATCTACCCCGACCTGTAAGCCCCACTTCAAGATATCCCACCCGTTTAGGTCAAAACCAATGTGTAACCTCCAGGATTGATTTACAACTTTGCCTGTAGCTTTCCTGAAATTTACCCCTGCTTTTTTTTTTCTTTTTTTTTTAATGGTGTTTCGCTCTTGTTGCCCAGGGTGGAGTGCAATGATATGACCCCGGCTCACCGCAACGTCCGCCTCAATGGTGCGATCTCTGCTCACTGCAACCTCCACCTCCCAGGTTCAAGTGATTTCCTGCCTCAGCCTCCTCCTGAGTAGCTGGGATTGCAGGCGCCGCCACCACAGCTGGCTCTGCCACCACACCCAGCTGATTTTGTATTTTTAGTAAGGATGGGGTATCTCCATGGTGGTCAGGCTGGTCTTGAACTCCCGGCCTCAGCTGATCTGCCCACCTTGGCCTCCCAAAGTGCTGGGATTACAGGCGTGAGCCACCGCGCTGGCCTACCCCGCTTTTAAAAACCATTACCTGCAAGCCACCTCAGAGGTCAGGATTTAAGCATTAGCTTCCTGGTCCTCCTTGCTTGGTGCTCTGCAAATAACTGCCTTCCTTTTTACTGCTGCAAACCTCAGTGTATATATCTGGTCTTACCAGCTGGGTGGGCAGACCCCAGTTCGGGTCAATGACGATCCTTCTCAGAGGTCAGGTCTCTAAGACAAAAGCATGGTGCTCTCCCAACCCCAGGCCTGCCCCCTTTCAAATCTGTGTAGATGACCCATCCAACACTCAGCCCCAAAGGTCCTTTGGTATCTGTGCCTCTTGCCTCCACTCCAGCAAATCCATGTCCAACTTTGACATGGGAACTGTGAAAGGAAAATAAATCTCAGGACTCCGGGCTCACTAAGCAAAAGCGAAAAGTCAAGCTGGGAACTGCATCAGGGAAATTTGTTTCCCATTTTATTCCTAAATAAGATAACCTCAAAGATTAAAAAAAAAAAAGAAAAGAAAAGCTACATACCTCCTTCACAATTTGTACATTAGGAAATTCCTTTACCCTAAAATAGTTCTGCTGAATTTTAGCCTGAAAATGTAAATTGATAGTGTATCTTCACAGGTATGGGACAAAGGGCAGAATTCAAAGTCATTCTTCTGCCCACCTGAGACAAATGCATATCAGATTTCTTCCTCTGTGTTGGGAAAAGCTGAGTGTTGGGAGAAGCTGAGGTGGGGCTTGCATATCTGACATAACGTAAAAGAGCTCTGGAACATGTCCAGGGTTCAGGGTCTAAATCCCCTTGTGGTCTTTGGAACACCAAGCTCTGTGCTAATGGGTGGAAGGCTACCCTGATGCACCATAATCTAAGCCCAGGGCATAAAATCCCTCATGGCTTGGACAGAATCCAGGGCTCGCAGCTCTGGAATGTGTCTAGACTTGCTGGCTCCTTGCTCCTTGCTCCTTGCCCTCCCAGGATCAACAGTACCTTGAGTTAAAAGAACCTGCTCTCCATTTTCTCAAGTAGCAGAGCAGATGCTAAACCATCACAGCTGTAAATCATGTGCTTAATGCAACACGCCCTTTCAGCCTCCACATTCTTACCACCTGTTTCTTTGCTGGATTACCAATAAATAGCACTGGGCTCCCAGAGCTCCGGGCCTTCACAGCCTCCACAATTGTGATGGTCCCGTGGTCCCACTTTACTTCTCCAACTGTCTTTTTCTCAGTCCTTTGACTCTGCCAGACTTTCTCACTCCCGTGACCTGGTGTTGGGTCTGATCACCCCAACATTCTGCCTTATGTTTATATTATATAAAAATGCAGATTAATTGAGCCAGATGAATGCATAAGTGACTATTCCTCTACCTACTTCTCACAAGTGAAGGGCTTATCAAAGACTCGAAAGCATGCCACTGCTTGCCTCCTATTTACCCACACTTTAAAACATTTTTTCCTCTTTCCCCAGTATCTGTCTTTCCCCCTTTAAATTTTGAAGCCCTCACAATCATCTTTGGAGATAAGTACAGACCTGTCTCCTGGATGCATCCTTAACCTTGGCAAAATAAATTTCAGTGCTGACTTTTATTTTGTATTGCCAAATGCAGACTACATGGACAGAGAAAGAAAAATATAACCAACTCTACAAGAAATGACACAAAATAAAAAAGGGAAGAAAAGACACACACATGCCCCATACAGATATGAACAGATAGTGCGAAACAGAGGTAAACAAGACACACAAATACAGACAGGAAGAAGCAGATAAACAAACAAAAAAACAGAGGGATAACATTTTATTAATGAATGTCTCCATCTTGTGGTTATTCATAATGTAGCTACTAATTAAGTCAAGTTTCTTTTTCCATTGTTTATTCATCCATCCACCTTTTCATGCATTCATCCTTCAGTGCAACCGATATTCTTGAGCTCATGCTATATGGCAGGTCCTATTCTAGTGTTGGGGATAAGATAGTGAACAAAGCAGATGAACATCCCTGTCTTTGTACAGCTTTCATTCCAGTTGGGCAGATGGGTGGTAAATTAGGTAAGTATAATGTGTAGTAAATTAGATAAGTATAATGTTAGGTTGCATAATGCTAAGAAGAAAACATAAAGTAGGGAAGGAAATATGAAAGGCTGTTGGAAGATGGAGTTAATATTTTCAGTAGAGTGATCATGGAAGGTCTCACTGAAAGAGTGACTTTTTAGTGAATGCCTGAAGAAAGGGTAGGAGAGAGAAAAGGAGGAAACCTCATGGATATGTAGGGGAAGAGCGATTCAGGAAGAGGAAAAACCCAGTGCAAAGGCTTTGAGTGGGAGTGTGGCTGCTCAAGGAATGGCAAAAAGATCAACTGGGGCTGGAGTGTAGTGAGCAAGGAGGACAGCTGGGAGGTGAGTAAGGAAAAGAGCAAAGAGAGAAAGCAAGAAGGAGAGCATGGAGGACAGCAAGAAGAAGAGGACGAAGGTGAGCAAGGAGGAGAGAAAGAAAAGTGGGCAAAAGAGTAAGGAGATAAGCAAGGAGGTGAGTAAGGAGGAGAACAAGGAGGTGAAGATGGGAGATAAGCAAGGAAAAGAACAGTGAGTTGAGCAAGGAGGTGATCCAGGAGAACATGCAAGGAGGTAAGCAATGAGAATGAGCAAGGAGGTGTGCAACGAGAGTAAGGAGGTAAGCAAGGAGATGAGTAAGGAGAGTAAGGAGGTAAGCAAGGAGGTGAGCAAGGGGGAGAATAAGGAGGTGAGAAAGGAGGGTGAGCAAGAACAGAAAGCATGCAGAATAGCAAGAAGGTAAGCAAGGAGGAGAACAAGTAGATAAGCAATGAGAGTGAGCAAGGAGGTGAGCAAGAAGAAGAACAAGAAGATGAGTAGGAGGATAACCAAGAAGGTGAGCAAGCAGCAGAGCACTAGGAGAACAGCAGGCCCACATCATTCTGGCTTTGGCATTTGCTCTGAGTGAGGTGGGTGACACTGGAGGATTTTGAGCAGAGGCAGTACACCATATGACATGAACCTGGTTGCTGAGATGAGAGTAGGCTCTAGGGGACTAAGGCTGGAAGCTGGGAGAACAGAAGGGCTATGGCAATACTACAGTGAGAGATGAGGCTTGGATCGAGGTGGTGGCAGTGGGAAAGGCAAAAAAAAGTAGAATTCTAAAGATACTCTGAAAGTAGATACAGCAGGATTTTTTAATGGGCTTGATGTGGAATGTGAGAAAAGAGGGACAATAAATAGATAGAATTTCTTCTTAATTACCAGTGAGGGAGCACTTGTGTAGAGTGTAGTCCCTTTGTTTTGGCCAATTTCTCCCTTTTGGAATGAGAGTATTTAGCTAATGCCTGTACCCCTTTGTATCTTGGAAGTAACTAATTGTTTTTTGATATTACAGGCTCATAGGTGGAAGGAACTTTCTTGCCTCAGATAAGACTTTGGATTGTGGACTTTTGAGTTAATCCTGAAATGAGTTAAGACTTGGGGGACCGTTGAGAAAGGATGATTGTATTTTTCAATGTGAGGAGGGGCCTGGTGTGAGGTGACCAGGATCATGGGGGTGGATTTCTCCCTTGTTGTTCTCATGATAGTGGGTGAATTCTCATGAGATCTGGTTGTTTAAAAATGTGTAGCACCTTCCCGTTTGCTCTCCTCCTCCTGCTCCAGCCATGAAAGACATGCCTGCTTCCCCTTCACCTTCCACCGTGATTGTAAGTTTCCTGAGGCCCCCCAGCCATGCTTCCTGTACAGCCTGCAGAACCGTGAGCCAATTAAACTTCTTTTCTTTATAAATTACTCAGTCTCAGGTAGTTCTTTATAGCAGTGCAAGAACAGACTAACACAGGGTCTTTGAGACCTGTCAGTGCCATGTTGATTTGTGGATAGCTATTTTTGGAGGGGTGCAGGGGAGCAAGGGGAATGAAGGCCAGTATGTCCTACTCTGTCATCTTGGTGATATCGCTCTCTTGATTTCATTTGAAGTGAATCCTATCACTTCGTATCAATTTCAAAACTAAATTCATCCAAATTAAGTAATTTCACTAACTCTGTGTCCACTCAGTATTATGAACATCATAATGAAAGTTATCACAAAAATTGAAAATCAACCCTAAATTTATAAATACCAAGAGTGTTTTAATGTTTTTATAGTTTTTACAGCCACTTTACATAACAATGTTGATGACAATCAAAATCTTCTGCCTATTATTAAAAAGTTAAAAGTATGTGCAGTGGCTCACGCCTGTAATCCCAGCCCTTTGGGAGACTGAGGTGGATGGATCACTTGAGGTCCGGAGTTTGAGACCAGCATGGCCAACATGGTGAAACCCCGTCTCTACTTAAAAAATACAAAAATTAGCCGGATGTGGTGGCAGGCACCTGTAATCCCAGCTACTTGGGAGGCTGAGGCAGGAGAATCGCTTGAACCCATAAGGCAGAGGTTGCAGTGAGCCGAGATGGTGCCACTGCACTCCAGCCTGGGTGATAGAGAGAGACTCCGTCTCAAAAAAAAAAAGTTAAAAGTGTGTAAAATCATTATTGTTTGTCTTGTAAAAAGTTTCTATTTCAATATAGTGTCATATCTTTTTACCAAGTTTACAAATAAGCTTTTCCTTTGATTGGAGGCTAAATCTTAGCTCATGTGTGAAATGTAGCATCAACGAGAAAACATAAATTACATTGCCCATTTTGGTCTTTGATTATTAAATGGTTGGCAAGTATTCCTTCTGTTTGAATAAAACTGGGAATTCGAGTTAATAATATAGTAAATCTTTGTAAAAATTTTCCATGATTCACCCAATGAGCATTGGCAAAGAACACAAGTTCATTAAATTCACTATCTTCTCTTTTATATAATTATTCCATAAACTGGTGACGATTTATGGCACTGACGCATATGAACTCAATGATTTAAAAAAACTCTATCCATGACACTTTTCATAGAGTGTTTGAGAAAACTGAGAATAAAAATTTTCAGGAGAACAAAGCTATAAATAAATGCATTTGCCTCTTGTTTAAAAATTCCAATAAAACCTGATAGTTGACTTAATACATCTGGAGTACAAGTTGTCATGACAGAAACAAATATAATCACATTTAGTTGGAATTTTTTTCTTTGAGAGACATAAAGGATTAAAATGTATTTATGCCATGAGTTTGATTTTCGGGGTCATGAATGACATTTCTCCATAAATTAGGAAGTCCTTTGAGAAGAAAAGCCATTAATTTGGTTAGTGTTCTTGTATTGCACAACTAATCTAAAGCTAAAGAAGAGTACTTGCAATTTTTCAAACTTTATATCAATTGACATTTGATATCATGTAAACAATCTTCTGTTTTACACGCTATAGTTGGTTGGCTTTAATTGGAGGTCTTTCACTTTGGGTAAAATAAATTATGATCTTTTACTTATACTTCAGTTATTTTAAAAAATAGTAGCTGAAAATTAAAGTCACCCTGGTTGGGGAGCATTTAAAACAACACAAAGGACAAAAATGCGGGAGCAAGGCCAGGCTCATCCCAAATCAGCTGAATCTGAATTTCTGGCAGGGGGCCTAGGATGCGCATTCTAATTTAAAGCTCCTGGGTGATTCTGTACTAAGTAGTCAGCAGTGGGCCGGACGCGGTGGCTCAGGCCTGAAATCCCAGCACTTTGGGAGGCCAAGGCAGGCGGATCACGAGGTCAGGAGATCAAGACCATCCTGGCTAACATCATGGTGAAACCCCATCTCTAATAAAAATATAAAAAATTAGCTGGGCGTGGTGGCACGTGCCTGTAGTCCCAGCTACTTGGGAGGCTGAGGCAGGAGAATTGCTTGACCCAGGAGGCAGAGCTTGCAGTGAGCCGAGATTGCGCCACTGCACTCCAGCCTGGGCGATAGAGCGAGACTCTGTCTCAAAACAAACAAACAAACAAACAAAACAAAAAGTAGTCAGCAGTGAGAACCAGGGACCTTGGCTTTTGATCATCTCTCTGGTGGATTGAAGGAAACTGTTTTCCATCACAGAGCTGGCCTGTCCTCAGCTCAGTGAGTCCACTGTGTTCATCCAGGGCAGCACTTTCCATCCCTCTCAGAAAGATGCTTCCAGCCAGGCCCATATACTTGCTGACATTTTCCTCTCCCCCACTCCTCCTACCATTAATTTCAGCTACTGCATCTTAGCCTCCACCCATCTCCCCATGTCCATGTCTCAGTGCATGTTATTTCTGCTGCCATATAGTAAAGGTCTCCTCAAAGTCCATCTAAAATCCCAATCTTTCCTTAATCAAACCCACAGTCTTCTACTTTTACCCTATGTCCAAACCAATCCCTCAGGCTCCTTAAGCAGAGTGCTTCTGCTCTTTTATGTTCTTCTTAAATTGCTTTCTCAGCATTTTAACTGCACACGTCCTCATTCTCTAAATGCTTTGGGACCTTAAAGGCAGGGACCCAAAGCTGATTCACTTTGACCCTAACACACTTTATGCAAGGCTGGATACACAACAAGTAAACTCATTGAATGAGTAAACAAATGGACAACTGAATATAACTATGGAGAAATTAACACTCATGAAAGAATACATTAACAAAAAAATTCAGGTTTAATTCATAAATGGAAGTGGCTAGGCTCTTGCCAGAGCTCCATGAAGTACCCTCCCCAGGAAAAGAACAAAGAAGATGGGAGATGGGGGTCTGATTCTGGCCCCATTTCTGATGGCTGATTTGCAATTTCTACTCTTGTTAGCAATTGGAAAACCCATCTAAGAAGTTATCGTCTCTTTGCATAGGTCTGCTTGTGTGCATCTCTTCATTTCAATGGCTACGTCACGAATACCTGCAAGAAACTGTAAGTGAGACTTCCACTCTCCTCCTCCTTCCTTATACTCTGCATTTTACTCATACAGACTGGGCTGGAGTAGGATATAAGTCAAGTCACACTCTGGTGTGATCCATCTGACAGGGCTCTCTGCAGCAGAGGCAATGAGCTAGAAATGTGTCCTCCAAAGATGGGACTTCCAAATTCCTAAATCTTCTCAAAATCTATGTCAATCACATATTGGCATATTTTCTAAACTTTATATGAACTTTTTTCCAACTTACATTACCACTTGAGATAGCATATGCTTTTATAGACCCTTTATGCCAATGGTAGTAAGAAGTCCTAATGACTTTGTTAGGGGTATCCTGTATGCTACTGATACTCAGGGGAGGGGGTATGTCTGTGTTTCAGTTATGTAGACTCTTTGTAAATTTAGGAACATAAATCTAATCTCTTATTCTTGGTCTGAGTTATCATTTAAGAACTAGCAATAGCCATAAAAAAGCTACGACTGTGATTGTGTTCCCTGCCTTTCAAAGCACCTTCAGACATATTCTTTCACATGGCACATATTCTACGCTCTCGATGATTTCATCTTACTTCTTCTGCAGTGTCAATAGCAATCGAGTGATTGCTATTTTAAAGCAAATACATCTCTTTTATTATGCAAATTACAGAAAGTAGAAACATAAGAATCCAAGAGACCAACCAACATGGTTAGCCTTCTAATTACCTCACTTAGATGAACTTCAGGAAGGTGGAGCTCCCCAGCGTCAGCAGGAGGAAGTGAGCAGGTAAAGAGGAATTATGGAAACAACCCAACCCTCACGGAACTCAGCCCACTGCATTTCGTGCTATTCCACACTATCACTCCTAAATCATTTCTCATTTAAATGTCTTCAATTAATTTAGAATTTTGTATTGTATTTTCTTAAAGCAAGCATAGTAAAATATAATTTGCAATCTTTTTGAAGAAAGTTTAAGCTTGGTCATTGCCTCTCTCCAGAGCTCTTATTTTGAAAATTTCAACAACAACAACAGAGGAAAAAAGCACACATTGCCCCCGTGGTTTTTTGTTTTTTGTTTTTTTGAGATGGAGTTTTGCTCTTGTTGCCCAGGCTGGAGTGCAGTGGAGCAATCTCGGCTCACCACAACCTCCGCCTCCTGGGTTCAAGTGATTCTCCTGCCTCAGTCTCCCGAGTAGCTGGGATTACAGGCATGTGCCACCACTCCGGCCAATTTTGTATTTTTAGTAGGGACGGGGTTTCTCCATGTTGGTCAGGCTGGTCTTGAACTCCCGACCTCAAGTGATCTGCCCGCCTCAGCCTCCCAAAGTGCTGGGATTACAGGCATGAGCTACCGCGCCCGGCCATGTTTTTTTTTTTTTTTTTTTTTTAAACCTAACCAAAATTTGCAGAAGATGAAGATTCCTCCAATATGCTGAACCAACTTCCTCAAAGCTAGTAGAGAGCCTGTCAATGAATACATGTATCAATTCAAAAATAAGTGAATGTGAAAGCCAGTTGGACATATTTACAGAGTCAGACCACTGCTGTGTCCTCATTTCTAAGAGATTTGGACAAAAGCTGATTTCTCCTCAACCCTACCCTTGGAACACATACCCCATAAGCTTGTGAGAGAATACCAGTACATCCTAGAAAAGTACCTGTGTTTATGATGCCAGAGAATTCAATACACTTTATTTTATCTGCTGCACACCATTTGAGTTCTGTATCGCATTTCCTTCCTTGCACTGCAAAGCATGTTGGGCACTTAAAACCACTGGAGCTGAATTCATCAACATCTTCCTCCTCTAGATCACTCATCTTAATCTCCCAGGAGACTGTTAAAAAAAGATAGAAGACTGGCTAGTTATTTGCCATTGACAAGCAAATGTACTCATTCTCATAGAACAGCCGCTAGAACTAGATCCACCCACCCCATTCACCCTTCCCTAATCCTCACCCCTGCCTTCCTCATGTGACACTTTCAAACGCATCCAATAACACTAGAGTTACTATAAAAATCCCTGCCATTATGGAGCTCATTTTCAGATGGAGGAAGCAGAAAAAAACAAAGAAGAAAAAAATATGATATGTCAGATGATGATAAATACTACGGAGAGAGACAAAACAGGACAGGATGTGCAGGGTAGGGATAATTCACGGGGTTGGTCAGGAAAGGCCTCACAGAAAAAGGGACATTTTTTGAGTGGAGGCCTGAAAAAGGTCTACTTCCAAACACTTACACAGAAAAATGTGGTCTTACAAGTAAAGGTCACGGGTGGCAGAATGCACAGGATACTCAAAGAAGGGGCCCTAACAAGAAAGAGCCTTAGCTTCTTCTGCACTATCTGCCTCTGGGGCTCCATAATAATGTCCTAGTGAACAGAAGTCGACTGATTCCCCGCTTCCATTCAAGTGTTCTTGCTGCCACCTGCTGTCATGGGCAAAGACTGGGCTTGGCTGTTCCAGTAAAAGATGTCCAGGCACAGAGCAGAGAATGGTGGGGACTATGAATAAAGAGGTGGAAATCTGTGGAAAATTAAGAGCAAGGGGAAAAAAGGAGTAAAAGCCATGGTATTTCCCTGAAGAATTCTCCTTAGGCTATCAAAAGGTAGTTTTGATTTGTTCACCTCCCCCAGACCAGGGCCTCTTCTGCCTCTGTTAGCCCCTATGGGATGAGTAGTATGTGACACCAAGGGGACATGCCCACCCAGATCCTGTATGCCCTTTCCCCACTTTGCCTGGCTACCAAGAATCCTGGGATTTCTTGCTCAAACAGACTGAGATCTAACCTAGCAGTTGTCAGAGGTGGTGGGAGTGGGGAGTTTAAACTTCAGCATTGGCGTGTCCACACACATGATCGCGATGGCCTTCACAGTTGAAGGGGAGTGTGGAATGGGGAAAGGAGATGGGCTGGAGACCAGGATCCAGATTTCTCAGTGCTGCAATTCTCTGGCATGAAACTCTTGCGAACATTCCAAACCTTTTAGGTCATTCTGAGGACACATTTGTGTAAGTAAAAGGATGGAAAATATTTTATTATTGTTTTTAGCTTACTGTATTTCTTTTAAGTATTGTGACATATTACCATGGGCCCTGCAAATGTGAGGGCAGCTGGCCCTCCACCCGGGGTAGGAGAAGGGGTTGGGAAGGCAGTGCTGAGGCCTGGGAGCTGGGTGCTGCCATGAAGAGAAGGAGAAGCAGAGACTAGAGACGCCCACATGCCTCTCCACCACTACAACCATTAGAGATCCAGGGCTAACCAGGCTTGCTTTCTCTGGAGAGTCTTGTTTGAGGAAGCACAATCCAAATGTAATTTTAAAAACGCATAGATTCGGCCGGGCGCAGTGGCTCACACCTGTAATACCAGCACTTTGGGAGGCAGACGCAGGTGGATCACGAGGTCAGGTGATCGAGACCATCCTGGCTAACACGTTGAAACCCCGTCTCTACTAAAAACACAAAAAATTAGCTGGGCGTGGTGGCGGGCGCCTGTAGTCCCAGCTACTCGGGAGGCTGAGGCAGGAGAATGACGTGAACCTGGGAGGCAGAGCTTGCAGTGAGCCGAGATTGCACCACTGCACTCCAGCCCGGGCGACAGAGCGAGACTCCCTCTCAAAAAAAAAAAAAAAAAAAAAAAGCATACATTCAAAAGTAATTCGTAAAAACTTATCACTTTAAAAAGTAATTTTGAAAATTAAAAGACAAAATAACGAAAATTTCAATGGTTAACGTTAGAGAGACCTTCCAATTCATAATTTCTCAGCAATATGTCTCATATCCCCTTTTGTCTCTTTCCAAACTCTTTCATACCCTACTCTGCTCTGAAGCTACTCTGTCCAATGTATCTATTTAAAATTAATTAAAATAAAATGTAATTAAAAATTCAGTTCCTTAGTCACACCAGTCTCATTTCAAATGCTGGATAGCCACACATGGCTAGTGGCCACTGTACTGGACAGCACAGGCATAGACATTTTGATCACTGCAGAAGGTAATGATGAATGTAAATTAAAATTGCAATGAGGGGCAACAGGTATTCTCATCTATTTCTGGTGGGTAAATTAGTAATACTTCTTTTTGAGAACAATTTGCACAAGCTCTTTTATCCAGCAATTCCTAGGTATTTTCCTACATGCATTTGTACAAGGTCATTCATTGTAGCATCCTCTGTGATAAGAAGTGATCAGAAGTGACTGAAATTCTCATGGTTAGATAGATTCTGTCATATCCATGAAACAGAGATGAATACCACCATAGACAGAATATGGCCATATTCTGATGAAATGAAAAGCTCTTCAAGATGTACTTTTAAGGGGAAAAAAACAAGATGTAGAGCATTTGATATAAAATGCTGCCAATGGAAAGAAAAGATGCATTTGGATATGTTTGTAAGTAACAGACCATTTCTGGAAAGGTAAACAAGAAAGGAATAACTATGGTTGCTAAACAGGAGTTGTGTTGGGGGCTGAAGAGGGTAGGATAATATACGTCATAGGCATATATTATTTATTTTTACAGTTACACAATTAAAAACAAATGTAAGTAAATTTTTAAAATGGGACAATATATGAAAAAAAGTTTTAAAATTTGTTTTTGCTCCCGAAAAAAAAGGCTTGTTACAGAAAATATTATATTCAAACAAACTTCACTACTAATCATAACCACTAAGCAATCTCTGATCAGCAGAGCAAAGGAGGGCACTTTTGAGGAAACAAGTGGTCACCTGGTTAAGTATGAGATTAAGTATCACTTTCTCCCACTCCCCTCAAAGTTGCCCACATGCCTCCCTCTGCCCCTCCAGTGCCTGGCTGGGGCCCTGATGTCCCAAGGCAATGGCATGTGAACTTGAAGAAAATTATTAGAGTGTGTGCCACATGCAGACTGATAGGTCTTCCTGCCCTCTCAACCAAATGCACAAACACTCTTAAGCCCAATATTCCAGTAAATGGTTTTTTTTTTTTTTTTTAAAAAGTTCTGGACTTTGATTTCTGTTAAAATGCAGAGCATACCAGGCAAGTTAATAGCACTGTTCTTAGCTATTCATAGTGAGAGGAACGACGATTTTCCCATCCTTTTTTTTTTTTTAAATGAGCTTTGATTGAGAAAAATCAGTGGGGCTGGGTTTGGGCTCTAGAGGAGATAAGATAGGATAGAGTGGAGAAGACAGAGGATGGGGAAAGGAGAAGAGAACTTGAAGATTGGAAGCTCCAAGATAAACTTCCACATTTTACCTAAGGCCTGTCCTCAAAATAAATAAAACAAGACTTTCTGTAATGTTTTATTAGGTGTGGAAAGCAGAAGAGAAGAAAATATATCAAGAAAAAACTAATTTTATGTAAAATTATGCTGAACTCTTTTATCTTATCAAAAATCCTAAGTTGGCTCATAATGAATTCTTACTAAGTGGTAACTATTTTTACTGTGATGCTGGTCCACCAGTATGGGGCAGGGGGAAAGGACAGGTGGGTGGTGAGTCTATTTTCAGTCTGCCCTTCTCTTTCTCATCAAAGGAAAGATGAGAACTTTGAGAGGCTGAGGGAACCAGGAAAGGTGCAAGGAGGTGGCCAGGAATAGTCAATGCTCCTGGCCGTGAATCAGTACACCACCCAGGTGACGTGGGAGCAGGAACAGTCAGTGCTCCTGGCCGTGAATTAGTACACCACCCAGGTGACGTGGGAGGCTGGCTTGGGAGGTGATGCAGGATGCCCTGGCAGCAATGGGAGAAATGTTAAAATGATTATGTGGCACTAACTGAATGACTCCTCCCGATAAGCAGACCCAGAACATCTTACTTCTGTGAACAACCAGGGAGAGTTAGAGGCTGCTCACACAGTACCCTATAACCTTCAGGGAAATCGGGGAAGTAGAACTACTTGGATGAGGGCTCATGATTCACGTTTCACTGGTGAACATTTTCTCTCCCCACAATTCTCCCAACATGAAGTGGTCTCTGGAGAAAGACAGACAAACATTAAAGCTCTCTTTAATGAGAGCTTATTACATGCCAGGCATTGTGTCAGCCCTTTACTAGCTCACATGTTCCTTACAACTATAATAGGCAGGAACCAATATTCTTAGTACTCTAATAAGGATACCTAAGAACAGATAAGCTCAGCTGCTTTCCTGAGGCCAGGCAGTCAGTTAAGTGGTTGATCAGAAGGCAACACTCAGGACTGTGTCCCCAGCACTGTTCTGTAGACTGTAAGCATTATGAGGGCAGGAGCCGTGTCTGCTCTTTCCTTATGCCGTGCTGATGAGTACACTGCCCAACAAAGAAAGGTGATTGGAGGTCTGCAGAATGCAAAGGGGAATGTGGCTGGGAACGCGAGAATGAAGGCAGAAATGCCGGAATAAAGGCTGGACTGGGGTAGAGAAAGCAGGTGGGGATTCAGAAATGCGGGTGGGAATCAGAGCAGGGATGTGGGAATGCGGAAACGCAGGTGGGAACGATGGGGAGAAAGTGGCAACGTTGGGGGATGCAGTTGGGAATGCAGGAATGAGGGTGGAAATGTGGGAATGCAGGCTGGAAGAGTGGAGAGTACAGGAATGCAGGAGGGAATTCACGAATGCAGCAGGAACCTGGGAATGCGGGAATGCAGAGAGCGACGCTGCGGGAAATGCGGGAGGACCCCAAGCCATCCGCTCACCTGTGAAGAAGGGCATGAAAGTAAGGCTGCAGGCCAAGAGGAGCCTGCCCGCCACCGAGGGACGCGTGGCTGAGGCTGCGGCCGGCCCCGTCGCTCCGTCTGGAAGAGAGGAGCCAGTGAGCTCAGTTCCGCGAAAGGGACACGCCCAGGCGGCCGGGCCCGCGCTCCCGCGCCACGCGAATGGCCTTTCCGCTGCTGGGCGAGCGCCCCTCACAGCGCCCCCGGATGCTGGGTGGGCCGCGCTGTGAGCTCGGCCTCTGGAGGCACCTGGGACTCGGAAACACTGCCTAGCCTAGAGACTTGTAGGCCCGAGAGAGCCTCTGGCCTGTCCGCTCCTTTCCACAGCGCGCTGTGGGCCCGCGGGAGCAGCTGGACCGGCAGCTGCGTCCTGAGGTGGGCGGGGTGGCTTGGTGAACCCGTACCTGACGCCGGGCGGTCCGGGACAGGCGGGTTGGCCGGGCTAGGCCGGAGGGCACTGCGCATGCGTCGGCCTCCACAGTCCCTTTGGCCTGCCCCATTGGTCCTCACTTCCCGCTCTTCCCGCCCTCTGGGAGCCTTGGCCAATGAGATCCTGGTGGCTCCCGGCTCACGTGACTGGAGAAAGCCTGGTGGGCTAGTTCCACAGTTCTGACGATTGGAAGAACTTGGAGGAGCTGGAATGTCTGTTTTTCCGATTCTTTGGTTCTCACCCCACCCAATTAAAGATATGCTATTGTGCCTCACCCTCTTCCCTACCTAGTCTAAGCATTTTTGAGGAAAGGGTACCTATATACTTAATTCTCTGACGGGAACATTCTACCCTACCAATACCCTCCAAGTCATCAATGCATCTAGTGCAATTCTGGCACCTCAGAATATTTTCTAACATACTCACACCTCCTTGAGACTGAACACTTTGAAAGGACAGGGACTGTGTATGTATGCATGATCCACATACTTCCAGCCTTTAGCACTGTACCTGGGACATAAATGCATTGTTAGTGTGTGTTGAATGAATGAAGGGTCCCTTCTACCTATGAGCTCAAGAGTGTTAGAATTCTTCCTGTTACCCAACTGCTGTTTTGATGGCTTACTTTCTGGCAGCTGCAGAAGCTCTAATTCTTTTTGGAAGCAACCTAAATATCCATCAAGGGATAAATGGATAAAGAAAATGTGATATCTACCTAAGATGAAATATTACTCAGCCTTAAAAAAGGCCTTTTCTGCATCTATTGAGATAATCATGTGGTTTTTGTCATTGGTTCTGTTTATGTGATGGATTGTGTTTATTGATTTGCATGTGTTGTACCAGCCTTGCATCCCAGGGATGAAGCCTACTTGATCGTGATGGATAATCTTTTTGATGTGCTGCTGGATTCAGTTTGCCAGTATTTTATTGAGGATTTTCACATCAGTGTTCATCAGCGATATTGGTGTGAAATTTTCTTTCTTTTTTTTTTTTTGGTTGTGTCTCTGCCAGGTTATGGTATCAGGGTGATGCTGGCCTCATAAAATGAGTTAGGGAACAGTTCCTCTTTTTCTGTTGTTTGGAATAGTTTCAAAAGGAACTGTACCAGCTAGTCTTTGTACCTCTGTGAATCCGTCTGTTCCTGGGCTTTTTTTTTTTTTTTTTTTTTTTGGTTGGTAGACCATTAATTACTGCCTGGATTTCAGAACTTGTTACTGGTCTATTGAGGGATTCGACTTCTTCCTGGTATAGTCTTGGGAGGGTGTATGTGTCCAGGAATTTATCCGTTTCTTCTAGATTTTCTAGTTTATTTTCATAGAGATGTTTATAGTATTCTCTGATGGTAGTTTATATTTGTGTTGGATCAGTGGTGATATCCCCTTTACCATTTTTTATTATGTCTATTTGATTCTTCTCTCTTTGCTTCTTTATTAGCCTAGCTTGGTGGTCTATCTATTTTGTTAGTCTTTTCAAAAAACCAGCTCCTGATTTCATTGTTTTTTTGAAGGCTTCTTTGTTTCTCTATTTCCTTCAGTTCTACTCTGATTTTAGTTATTTCTTGTCTTCTGCTAGCTTTCGAATTTATTTGCTCTTGCTTCTCTAGTTCTTTTAATTTTGATGTTAGGGTGTCGATTTTAGATCTTTCCTGCTTTCTGATGTGGCCATGTAATGCTATAAATTTCCCTCTAAACACTGCTTTAGCTGTGTCCCGGAAATTCTGGTGTGTTGTGTCTTTGTTCTCATTGGTTTCAAATATCTTATTTATTTCTGCCTTAATTTTGTTAGTTACCTAGTAGTCATTCAGGAGCAGGTTGTTCAGTTTCCATGTAGTTGTGTGGTGCTGAGTGAGTTTCTTAATCCTGAGTTCTAATTTGGTGCACTGTGGTCTGAAAGACTGTTTGTTATGATTTCCATTGTTTTGCCTTTGCTGAGGAATGTTTTAGTTCCAATTATGTGGTCAACTTTAGAATAAGTGCTATGTGGTGCTGAGAAGAATGTATATTCTGTTGATTTGAGGTAGAGAGTTCTGTAGACGTCTATTAGGTTTGCTTGGTCCAGAGCTGAGTTCAAGTCCTGAATAGGCCTGTTAATTTTCTGTCTCATTGGTAAAGTTTTTCTTTTAACTATTTGGTGTTAGAAGTAAGATTTGAAGGATACCCAGTGGCCCCCCGGAACAAGGAATGCCCAAGTGTAGATACCCACTAGGGCCCATTGCTCTCACGCTGCAACTGAAGATTATGGGTAAATTTCCTCTTGGATTCAAACTCTGCAAATTTATGTTTTGAGCTCTAACTTTGTTTGAGCAATTTGTTGACTGGACTGGGTTCAGAATTGGAATGGATCTGGTAAAGAAACCAGACTGGGTCCAGTAGGAGGCCTCTGGTAGGTAAGGTTCCTGGAAGACAGCATATCATGTGTTTTTTGAATCCAAGGGCTCTAGAACTCTT
Organism: Homo sapiens; assembly: GCF_000001405.40. Lineage (NCBI taxonomy): Eukaryota > Metazoa > Chordata > Mammalia > Primates > Hominidae > Homo > Homo sapiens. The sequence continues at coordinate 248,689,323 of NC_000001.11, read as the reverse complement.
CCATGTGGGACTGCAGCATATTTTATGTATAAGAACCATGGACCCAGAACATGTGTTTTTCTAGAAAAATGAGTGAACCTGACCAAAGGTAATTTTAAGTTACAAAGGCCACAGTGGGGAGACTTTTTACAAAGGACAAAGAGGTGCATGCCTTTATAATACGCCAGCTATGGGGACTGAGAAGACCTCCTTGTAGCTATTTTGAACCCCAGAGGAGTTGCCTCAAAAGTAAAGGACCGCGTGTCCCAAGAAGTTTACCTGTATTTTAAATAGTCAGGCCTTTGCATAAGAAATTTTTCATTTCTATACCAGTCATCTGATGGACCTGGCCTGTCTACCTACTAGAGAAAGCCCCCAAGGGCTACACTCCCTGGGCAATAATCAACCAATCCCCCAGAGAAAAAAAATGGAAGTTTCAAATCAAATGTGGAAGTCCCCATACCTGAAGCTATCTGACTGACAGTTGAATCATATTTAGAAAAACATTTGTAAGAATGAGTCTTTTCTGTTTTCTCTCTTTAATCCTGCTTCTCCCATGGGAACCCTGCAGTCAACTGAAACACCTCTTATGAAACTTCCCGCTAAACACATACTCTGCCAATTCTTTCTTGTTGTCATGATCTTTGCTATGCCCCAAACTCTTTCTGGTGGGTGGGGGGAAATATTATTCAGTCTTGCAATCTTGAAAACAAAACAGGAGAGAAAAGTTGTACCAGTCTGTGATTATAGAGCAAGATTAGAAGTAACCATGGTGAGTCAGGCACACAAAATATTTGTTCTAGTCTTCAGTGGGTTCCACCCACTTAGTATTTTAGTTAAAAGACAGAAGGTGGGTTGGAAAACCACTGATTTAGCAGAATAAATCTCCAAAATACAACTTTTTGGCAGAAAAACTATTTTCACCTGCTTATTTTGAGGACTCTTTGTAAGAGAAATTTACATCCCTAAAGGGAATCTCCATTTGTAAGAAGGTCTACCTCTCTGGACAGAGAACACTGGAAACTCTGATAAGGAAGAAAGCGTTGGCTTAAATCTACAGAAGCCTTGCCTTTAAAGTGCTTTTCCTAGCTGTCTTGCCCTAACTGGGTCTTTACATCTTTCTTTCTTGGTTTGGGCAAATTAAAGCATTTAAGCTGGAAGTCCAAGCTCTGTGCTTTTGAGATATAAATTTTCTACACAGTCTTCTCTAGAGTTTAATAGGTATCTATTTAAAATGCAAGTTTAGGGTAGATAACTCATCAGAAGTAGAAGTAAGAAAAATAGATATTTGGAAACTGAGCAAATAAAAAAACATTAATGATCTTTTTCACAAATATTAGTAAGAAGCTTTAGCCATTTAAGTGGCATTAGCCAAAAACAATTTAGATCCAGATATTCTTTAATAAATTAGTGAGATTTGTATTATTGTACCTGGCACATGGCTAAAAATTTGTAATGTTTCTGTTACATGTCTATCTATATCTGGATGTATGTACATATGTGCAATATTTTTCTACTGCCTTATAGTATTGCCAAAATTAAATAACACCATGTTCAAACAAGACGGATGTCTAGCTGTAGGCAAGCAGGTGATTTTTCTACTTTGCTCCTATGTCTGGCCCATAAAAGCTTGTTCACACTGCTGGGCAGAGCTCTCTGAATTTCTTCTGATCTGTAGTGCGATCTGATAATGAATCATTCTTTGATCAAATAAAGTCTGCTAAGTTTAATTTGTCTTAAGTTTTTATATTAAGACTCACTTTCCTCATTTGAAAAATGAAATGATAAAATATATATCTCCTAAATTTCTGCCAGATTTTTCTATTCACTTCTAATTTTCAAATGATCGTATTTAGTGAGATCTACCCATCCTCTTGGTCTGTGACTGGTTGTGGAACAAATAGATTTGGAGGAAGATGAGAAGCATGATGATTGTCTCCATTAAGCCAATAATTTTCTGAGAGTCTATGTGCAATACAGAAACAGGCTGCTGTAACTGCAAAGTAAACTGAGTATACGCACTTAACTGCTCTCATGTGGCATACTGACTAGGCATAGTGATGAAGTAAAACAATTTATTATTTTCTGAGTACTTAAATGTCTGGGTTTTGTACTTTATCGAAGATTATTTTATGAAATGTGAAAATATAAATCCTTTACTTTTTTCACTGTTTACTCTCCTCACTCTCTTAATGAAAATCTCTATATCTCATGCTCATCACTTCCTCACGGACTCTGAGTTCAGTTGGCACCTACTCCATATTCTGCTTTCTGTTTCAGCAGGTAATTTACAATTTAACCCAGAGGAGGCAGCATCCTCCTGAGACCAGCGTCCCCCAGGCTTCCTTCTGGAAGCCAATCTCCTCCAGACTGTGGCGGCCCAGTCTCTATGGGAAACTAACAGAGAAGATTGTCTCCTTGATATATTATACATCAGGTTTTCTCTATCACTGAGTTTGCATGTTAAATTGGGTCACTTCTTCTGGTGAGACACAGAGGAAAACTTCAGAACTGTTTCTTTATCATCATTGGTCCAGACAGTGAATACATATTGAGAAGCTACATGTTATTTAATCAAGGTATTGCTGGTCTTGTATTTCTCAGATATTTACCCAATAAGGAAATTGAATTTGTCTACATGAGATTTATGTAAGCAATCATTTCAAATTTTTTATGAGAAAAAAATCAAGACATGTTTGCTTAAAGTGATTTAATTGTTCTCTTAGTAATTATGTTTCATATTTTTTTCCAATGAAACAAGCAAACAAAATAGTGCATTCAGTTTGCTTGAATTTTTATCATTTTAATCAGTTTTGGAGAGATCTATTTTTAGTTTGAGACTAGAGTGGAAGCAGCTCATGGTGCAGTGTGTATTGGTTTTGTTCCTCAGTGTTGCTCTTTTGCTTGATATAAGTGGGATAAAGGGCAGCTCTTCAGCATCAGGCCACTCAGAGAAAACTACACTGAAGTAAAAAGGCTTCATATAGATTAGATACAAATGCTCTCAGAGGTGGGGCAGCAGAGGCCATCTTGTTGAGTGTAGTTTTACATTTCAGTAAATTGAAATTAAAATGTATTTGTAGGTTCCCCAACTTAAAACAGCTGTGTCAGAACATGACAAGAATTCAGGTCTCTTTTAATCTTATTACTCATCATACCACATGTGTGAATTTAAAATAGACAGACTTGGAAGCAGGAAATCTTTATACATATTTAATTCAATATGCTTTACGGTTAAAAATAATATATTCAAAATTTTCAACTTATATCTATCAATGATGCACATATGTATATGAAAATGTATTGTGTCTTTTTAACCAATGTGTTAACTACTAAGTTTTTGTTAATAAATGCACATCAATTTGCCTAATATTTTGAATAGGTGTATTGTATATATGCTTATATATCATAATGATAATATGTTTGCATCCCTATAGATTTGTTTTGTATGTCCTCAATTTCAAATTGTAGACAATTTTCAAGGAAAATATTAATTTAATAACTTTTCAATAAACAGTAACTATATATACACACTATATGTACACAAATATATACACAACTATATATACATATATATGTATGTATACATATACACAACTATACATATATATGTATATATATACTATACATGTATATTTATATGTATATATATACACGAACTATATATGCACTATATATACACAACTATATATAAATTATATGATGCTTTTCCTTTAGCAGTGCAGAAATGTGAGTGTTAGAATCAAGGAAAGAGCATTATTATTTTCTCATTCTCTAGATAATACATTACAAGGAATTGGCCACGTGGCAGTTTTGTAGAATTTTACATCTACCGATAGCAAGCTAACCCGGGAGATAGTATACTCCTGTACACTGCTGATTCTGCTGGAAGGGTGGGTAACCTTTTGCCTTGTTTTATGGGACAGCTGCAATTCTTGGTTGTTTGGTTGAGATATTTTAAATACAAACCAATTAACAACCATTTTATTACTTGTTTCATTGAGTTCTATTAAAAAGTCAGAACAAAAACCCAGTTTTAAAAGTTACTCTGCATTGTTAAATAGTATTATAATGGATGTCAAAATATGCAGAATGTAATCACCTGAGTCCCCATTACTTTTTTATTAATGTTTAATCATATTTTTTGAGATTATTACTTTAATATGTGAGGTATTTTATTTAATCTATAATGTCAAAGAAAACAGTGGAAAAAAGAGAGCTTTTTTCACTGAATTTTACAAGCAATTTAAATATATAAAATATAAAAGCAATTTATAACACACAAAAGTATTTCAGTTGCTTCTTTGACATTAATGTATAAATAATATTAAAAATATGAAATATCCAAAATCTAGAAAGAGTATAACAAATGATTTTTAAGAACGAGCACTTAGGCTTATCATTTATTCATATTTTTGTTTGCTTTAATGATCTTAACTGTTAAAATATTACAGATATAATTACTGTTCAATGTTTTCAACTTATTTTTTCCCTCCGCTACCCCATTTATTGGCATTTGTATTCATTCCAGTAACTGTTTTATACAAGCTTATCTGTGTGTGTGTGTATATATATATATATATATATGTATGTGTGTGTATTTATAAATAATGCACTGCACAATTTGAATGTTTAAATGCATATGACTGGGAACATATTTTGTGTAATAGTTTGTGGGGTTTTTTCAAAACTATGTTGAAATGTTCAATATTGATGTAGAGTATCCCATTCAGTTTAACTTCTAGAGAGTGTTCCATTCTGGGATAAAGTAGGGTATGTTATCCATTTTCCTAGTGATGGTAATTAGGGGTTTAAACGTCATGGAGCAAACATCCTCACATATGTCATTTTTTAAAACTCAAGTGTACATTTGTGAGAAGGAGCATTGCTGCATCAAACTTGCGCATCTTCAGTTGTGTTCAAAATTTCCAGTTGACCCTCCAAAGTAGGTAGGCTGCTTACACAGCAAACTAAGCAGCAGCAAAGAGCTTCGTCCCTTCACATGTTTGTCGAGACTTTACTTGCCAGACATATGTTTTCTAAAGCAATGGACACAAAATAGCATCATGTTAAAGTTTTAATTTGCATTTCCATAACTAGTAAAGTTGAACACATTTTGAATTGTTATTGGGTCATTAGCTTTCCAGTTTTCTGAGCCCTTGTTCATATACTTTGCTCATTGTTTATGCTAATGTGTTTTTATAGTTTGTCGTTTATCAGGGATAGTGCTCCTTTGTCATTTTCATTGTAAATATGTATTGCTCGTCACTTGACTTTGTGTGACAGTACAATTCTTTTTGTTTTTCCTTTTTGAGATGGAGTTATGCCCTTATTGCCCAGGCTGGAGTGCAGTGGCACGATCTTGGCTCACTGCCACCTCCACCTCCCAGGTTCAAGCGAGTCTCCTGCTCCAACCTCCTGAGTAGCTGGGATTACAGGCATGTGCCACCACGCTCAGCTATTTTGTATTTTCAGTAGAGACGGGATTTCAGCATGTTGGTCAGGCTGGTCTCGAACTCCTCACCTCAGGTGATCCACCTACCTCAACCTCCGAAAGTGCTGGGATTACAGGAGTTCGCCACCGCGCTTTGCCAAGAGTGCAATTCTTTTCAATTACTTGTTTTAATGATACAATGAAATGCTTCAAAGTGACTGTATCATTTATAGCATTTGGACAAAAGATTATCTTCAAATTTTTTCATTAAACATAGGTTCTACCTGTCCTATAAAAAATAACATTTCACATTATCTTTAAAATTTGTCATAAAACATAGGTTCTACCTGTCTTATAAATAACATTTCACATTTGCCTGGTAGCAAGGGATAGCATTTATGTGCTTAATAGAGTTTATCATTAATGAAATAAGGCAACTAAACCTTAGATGATCAGTAACCTGATTTTAAAATCACTTGTTTAAAGTTGGCTCTAGTTTGAAAAAAATTAATAAGTTGTTTTTAGTGAGAATATTTGAGTCATGTGAACAGGATCTAACACACATGACTTTGATGCAGAAAAACTAATTTTAAACATATAGATAATACCAGTGAAAATAAACAAAATATGATAAACAATATATAGAAAAAAGTTATTTTTGTGAGCTTATGTTAGTCAAAGTTATTTTCTATGAAAAAAACTTAGAATGCAGAGGTCAGCAACACATCCTGGAAATGAACTGCCTTGATTTAAATGCTGGCTCAGGTGCTGGCTCTTTCAGTGCATTGGGCAACTTATTTGATCTTGTTATGCCTCCGTTTTATCTTGAGAAAAAGAATAATAACGGCATATTTTAATTTATTGTACAATTATGAATATTAATTGAGCCAAGGTGTGTCCTGTAGAGATAATAGCATCGGGCACAGAGAAGGTGCAACACATGGGTAATGGCATTGTTAGTATAACTATTGTCATGTCTTGCACATTGACACAAAATAAATTTCCCTCTCTCCAAACCAGAGCTAATTATCAATGGTTTTAAAATCATATTCCATACTCATTCCATGTCTTAAACAGTAAATCCTCATTTTAAAGTGGCTTACCACCCAATTTATTCAACAAATAGCTAAAGACAGTTGACTCTGCCCAGGATGTATAACCACAGTTAAAACTACAAACTTTTGTACTAAAAAATCACCCAGAAACTTGTATGAAAAGCAAATTATTGGTTTTATCCCACAAATTTTTATTTAGTATATTTGCCTTGAGACTTGAAATTCTGCATATTTAATAAGCACCCTAGATTATTTGATGAGAAAAATCTTAATTTCAAGATTGAGAAGTTCCATATAATAGAAAAACAGTACTAATCAAAAGCTTTTAGAAATTGGTTACTCAACTCATAGTCTTAGGCATATATTTTTTATGATCTTTCCATGTTAAAAATCTCCCACCATTTTATTTGTTTAAGCAGTGTGGAAGATGTCCAGTGGATTGAATTTAATTTAGGAGGATATTACTCCTACCACACTGTGTTCACTTTTTGTCTCATTTAAAACTATTGTATATTTTTTCTCAACAATCAGATCACAGATTTCCCTGCCAAATGGACAATCTCACAAAAGTGACAGAATTCCTGCTGATGGAGTTTTCTGGTATCTGGGAGCTGCAGGTGCTGCACGCCGGGCTGTTTCTGCTGATTTATCTGGCAGTGCTGGTGGGGAACCTGCTCATCATTGCAGTCATCACTCTCGATCAGCATCTTCACACACCCATGTACTTCTTCCTGAAGAACCTCTCCGTTTTGGATCTGTGCTACATCTCAGTCACTGTGCCTAAATCCATCCGTAACTCCCTGACTCGCAGAAGCTCCATCTCTTATCTTGGCTGTGTGGCTCAAGTCTATTTTTTCTCTGCCTTTGCATCTGCTGAGCTGGCCTTCCTTACTGTCATGTCTTATGACCGCTATGTTGCCATTTGCCACCCCCTCCAATACAGAGCCGTGATGACATCAGGAGGGTGCTATCAGATGGCAGTCACCACCTGGCTAAGCTGCTTTTCCTACGCAGCCGTCCACACTGGCAACATGTTTCGGGAGCACGTTTGCAGATCCAGTGTGATCCACCAGTTCTTCCGTGACATCCCTCATGTGTTGGCCCTGGTTTCCTGTGAGGTTTTCTTTGTAGAGTTTTTGACCCTGGCCCTGAGCTCATGCTTGGTTCTGGGATGCTTTATTCTCATGATGATCTCCTATTTCCAAATCTTCTCAACGGTGCTCAGAATCCCTTCAGGACAGAGTCGAGCAAAAGCCTTCTCCACCTGCTCCCCCCAGCTCATTGTCATCATGCTCTTTCTTACCACAGGGCTCTTTGCTGCCTTAGGACCAATTGCAAAAGCTCTGTCCATTCAGGATTTAGTGATTGCTCTGACATACACAGTTTTGCCTCCCTTCCTCAATCCCATCATATATAGTCTTAGGAATAAGGAGATTAAAACAGCCATGTGGAGACTCTTTGTGAAGATATATTTTCTGCAAAAGTAGAACATCCTGGTCTTTACTATAGAAGATCTGCAACAAAACCCCAAAAAAGCATAAATACTTTATGACAAAAAAAGATGAAAAAATTGTTGATGAAATGATGAAAAATCCTGAAAAAAAAAACCTGTTGAATGGGAGAAAGACAATATTTGCACTACTATATGTAGATAGAAATGCAAATGTTTCTTCAAAAACTAAAAGTATAAAAGTATAAAAGTACCTTCATAAAATATTTCAAGGTTGTGTAACTGCAGCTTGTTGTGGTGATTTATTCCTTCCCATTCCACACATGTTCGAACTGCTTTAATTACCTCATCTTGAACCTGTAGCCTTGCACTCCTGTTAGTATGAATTTTTTGGAAGAGGACACACACATACACACACACACACACACACACACACACGCACACAGTTTTAGTACCTGATTTAGCCAGTCAACAAAAAAGAACATAAAACAAGCAGAAGGGTTATTAGAACAGGAACGTATGTTTTAGATTTTGCCAAATATTTTAAGGATATTTCTCTTTCACTTAGTTATTTTTAGAAATCTGTCAGGAAATTAACACAATTTCCATCAATGCATCTACTGAGATTGTCACTGAGTGCCTCAGTTTCTGCATTTGTGTTAGTATTCAATGTGTTGATAGAAACGGATCTCTTTCCTGGGTTTTAGTGCCTCAGTTTCTACACCTGTGTTAATATTCAATGTGTTAATACATACAGAGCTCTTTCCTGGGTCTGAGTTCTTGGTCACTGCTGGTGATTATCATCATCGCCATTGTCATTATTTTGTCAGAACACCTGAGCGTGAGTCCCTTGGCACATGGGCTGTCTGCCATTCTCAGGTGACTGGGCTCGTGAAATGTACACTGGCTATTCCTGATTTTCACTTGATGGGATGGGAAGAGGATTCGTGGAAACACTGATATTCTTAGTTGGTTCAGGATAAGAGTCTTGATGTGTGAACTGTCATTAGCCCATCGCAGTTGTGTGTGAGGCTGACCTCTCCATTAGGCACTGGACTTTACATCCCAAATCTCACTTTTACTTTCCAGAGAGATTGCAAACAATTGGGAAAATACAATAAAACATAAAATTCTGTAAATATAATTCTTCGATATGCTGCCAAATAAAAATTTGTAAAATTATTTTTTCTCATTTTTAACTATGCTTTTGTAGTTATCAATGTAATAGATGTTTATTGCTTTAAATGTCTTTCTTAAAAACTGTCCTGCTTTAATTTTATAAAACAAGGAAAAAAGTTACTCAAAGTGCTACAACACAGGAGAAAGAATTCTTTGCTTAGACCTATCTATTTGCAACTATTTTATATAAAATTTTACTTGAATGCTTAATATGTGTTTTTTCCTGTTCTTGAAAGTACATTTAAAACATTAAATATTGTTTATAATTCTAAATGAATGTAAATGTTTTATTGCATAATAAAACCTTTGTTATTAAGCTATCACTGTTTTTCTCTCATAAGATGAACATCTGAAACTATAAGATAATTTGCCATGGATTAATATTTTTACTTAAATACAGTCCTAGATAAGCAAGTACTTTCACCCTCAGTCTTATGACCCTGATGTCAGAGAAGCCAATGGCCCAGGATGGGGAAAATGTGCTAGCTTTCTTCAGCTTCTAGACCTGAAATTTATGGAGGTGGACTCAGGACCAGCTATACCTGATAAGGCTCAAATGACACCTGTCCCACCAGAGCAGGTGTGAGTGTTCCTGAGTGACTACTCAGGGTTCTTGAGGTCAAGGACTATTTTAAGGGAATTTTAGGGAGCAAGTTGACTCATCACTTAATGAAAGAGGCAACAGGGCTTCTAAGAAAGACAAGCACATTATAAATGGTTTTTAATCCCTTTTAATATTAAGTAGTATAATAAAGCACATAGTATAATATAGCATATAGCTATATTACATATATTAGTACTAAACATACTAATATATATTACAATATATATTATATTAGTACTAAACATCAAGCGACAGAACATCACCATCACGGAAGCCCTCTTGCCACTCCTCCCAATCAGCACACACTCCCCACCAAAAATATTAACATTATTCTAATTTTTTAATGCTTACGTTGAACTTTAAGTATTCAGAAAAGCTGCAAAATTTGTACAGAGTTTTTATGTAGTGCTCACCCAGCTTCTCCTAATTTTATACAGAGTTTCACTTATGTACTTGTGTCATTCATATTTTTCTTGATCCAGAGCCCCTGGCATTCAACATTTCCATTAAGTAAATTTCTAGGGTTGTACCATTTGGGGCAGGAGTAGCTGCTCACCTACATGAAGTAGTTACAAGGATCAGGATCTAACAGCTTTTTATACAAATTTTAGACAAGCCTCCTATTTGAACTGTTTAGAGGTACTTGATTACTTCAACTTCAAGCTTTTGGAGGGATTCTTCTAGTATAATTCTGCAAGCTTCTGAGCTGCTTCTATGACCACATTAATATTCAGCTTTTTTAGATCTAAGAAGTCCAATTCTAATTATTTTTTTTTCAGCCTCCAAAAATTTCTTGCTGTTATCTTCTTTCCCAAACTGTTGGCCTTTGTGTATTTATGCTTTAAATATAATAGTTCCTTCAGACAATGGTAAAAACTCTTGTCTAAAAAAAGAAATCTGAAAATTTCTTGTGTTCTCTGCCTTTATTTTTGAATGATACTTTAGCTGGATTTAGAATTAAGGCTTTGTAGGTAACCTGAAATTATTTCATAGCACATACAACAACTATAATTAATGAAATATGCGTGTAATTTAAAAATAGAATTAAAACTTCATAAATTTCTTAACATTTTCCTTTGAGACTTCCTGTTTGTCCTGTGGATTATTTAGAAACATATTGTTTAATTTCCAAGTAGTTACAGATTTTTCCAGTTGTTTTCGTGTAATTGACTTCCAATTTGATTCAGTGTTGCCAGAGAAAACATTGCACATGATTTAGAATCTTTTAAATTTGTTAAGGTTTATTTAATGATCTGTGAAATGGTCTATCTTGCTGACTATTCATGAGTCTTTGAAATAAAAGTATATTCTGATGTTGAATGGAATGTCCTCAAAGACATTAAATCTGTTATCACAACATCCCCTGTGGACACCCTCATGACTACATTAGATACCTTAGCTTATTTATATGTTCCTGCCTTATTGTCCTTTTTGTCATTATGTAGTAGCTCTATAAAATATTTGGAATAAAATATTGAATGCAAACTTTATCTTTCATGTATCTATACTGTTATCCCCTAAAGTAGCAGGGTATTATCTTGTATCCTTTGGTGATATTAATAGGAATGCATGAAATGGAGATCATTGCATAAACAAGACCTGACTGCTCCCAGTATGCACTCTAATCAGTGAGACCCTGAGCACAGTATTTTTGAGTGACTGAAGAAGTATTAGGTTGGTGAAAAAGTAATTGCAATTTTTGCCATTGCTTTTAATGGCAAAAACCACAATAATCAATAATTATCAACCAGGAAGTATCATTGAAAAATAGTAATTCATCCAAGTGACAATATTGTGAAATCTGCGATTGTTTTAAAACCCTGTTTTATGGCAGGGAGAAAAGATGATGTAGCAGTCTTCGATGAATAATATCAATCAGGGACATTGAATGTGGGGAACATTGCCCTTGAATATTAATTTTCTGTCTTCCAAGAATTGTAGAATAGTTCAGAGGAAGTCAAAAACACAAGAGACATTGGATACAAAAATGCTACTAAGTGAAAGAAAACTGAGATGTAAATTTATTTTTTACTTTTTTTATTTTTTTTATTTTTATTTTTTTTATTGATCATTCTTGGGTGTTTCTCGCAGAGGGGGATTTGGCAGGGTCATAGGACAATAGTGGAAGGAAGGTCAGCAGATAAACAAGTGAACAAAGGTCTCTGGTTTTCCTAGGCAGAGGACCCTGCGGCCTTCCGCAGTGTTTGTGTCCCTGATTACTTGAGATTAGGGATTGGTGATGACTCTTAACGAGCATGCTGCCTTCAAGCATCTGTTTAACAAAGCACATCTTGCACTGCCCTTAATCCATTTAACCCTGAGTGGACACAGCACATGTTTCAGAGAGCACAGGGTTGGGGGGTAAGGTCACAGATCAACAGGATCCCAAGGCAGAAGAATTTATCTTAGTACAGAACAAAATGAAAAGTCTCCCATGTCTACTTCTTTCTACACAGACACGGCAACCATCCGATTTCTCAATCTTTTCCCCACCTTTCCCGCCTTTCTATTCCACAAAACCGCCATTGTCATCCCGGCCCGTTCTCAATGAGCTGTTGGGTACACCTCCCGGACGGGGCGGCTGGCCGGGCAGAGGGGCTCCTCACTTCCCAGTAGGGGCGGCCGGGCAGAGGCGCCCCTCACCTCCCGGACGGGGCGGCTGGCCGGGCGGGGGGCTGACCCCCCCACCTCCCTCCCGGACGGGGCGGCTGCCAGGCAGAGGGGCTCCTCACTTCTCAGACGATGGGCGGCCAGGCAGAGACGCTCCTCACTTCCCAGACGGGGTGGCGGCCGGGCAGAGACGCTCCTCACCTCCCAGACGGGGCGGTGGGGCAGAGGAGCTCCCCATATCTCAGACGATGGGCGGCCAGGCAGAGACGCTCCTCACTTCCCAGACGGGGTGGCGGCCGGGCAGAGGCTGCAATCTCGGCACTTTGGGAGGCCAAGGCAGGCGGCTGGGAGGTGGAGGTTGTAGCGAGCCGAGATCACACCACTGCACTCCAGCCTGGGCACCATTGAGCACTGAGTGAACGAGACTCCGTCTGCAATCCCGGCACCTCCGGGAGGCCGAGGCTGGCGGATCACTCGCGGTTAGGAGCTGGAGACCAGCCCGGCCAACACAGCGAAACCCCGTCTCCACCAAAAAAATACGAAAACCAGTCAGGCGTGGCGGTGCGCCCCTGCAATCGCAGGCACTCGGCAGGCTGAGGCAGGAGAATCAGGCAGGGAGGTTGCAGTGAGCCGAGATCGCAGCAGTACAGTCCAGCTTCGGCTCGGCATCAGAGGGAGACCGTGGAAAGAGAGGGAGAGGGAGAGGGAGAGGGAGAGGGAGAGGGAGAGGGGAGAGGGGAGAGGGGAGAGGGAGAGCGTAAATTTTAAATGTTATATTTTTGAAAGTGACTGAAGAATGGAAAATTTGGGGAGCACTATGGGAGATGGCTTCTACTCAACAGCAGTGTGATAGGTATGTATTCTGTGTCTGGGGAGCACTATGGGAGACTGCTTCTACTCAACAGTACTGTCATAGGTATGTATTCTGTGTCTAGGGAGCACTATGGGAGACTGCTTCTATTCAGCAGTGTGATAGGTATGTATTCTGTGTCTGGGGAGCACTATGGGAGACTGCTTCTACTCAGCAGTGTCATAGGTATGTATTCTGTGTTTGGGGAGAACTATGGGAGACTGCTTCTACTCAGCAGTGTCATAGATATGAATTCTGTGTCTGGGGAGCACTACGAGAGACTGCTTCTACTCAACAGTACTGTCATAGGTATGTATTCTGCGTCTAGGGAGCACTATGGGAGACTGCTTCTACTCAGCAGTGTCATAGGTATGTATTCTGTGTCTGGGGAGCACTACGGGAGACTGCTTTTACTCAGCAATGTCATAGGTATATATTCTGTGTCTGGGGAGTACTACGGGAGACTGCTTTTACTCAGCAATGTCATAGGTATATATTCTGTGTCTGGGGAGCACTATGGGAGACTGCTTCTACTCAGCAGTGTCATAGGTATGTATTCTGTGTCTGGGGAGCACTATGGGAGACTGCTTCTACTCAGCAGTGTCATAGGTATGTATTCTGTGTCTGGGGAGCACTACGGGAGACTACTTTTACTCAGCAATGTCATAGGTATATATTCTGTGTCTGGGGAGCACTACGGGAGACTGCTTCTACTCAGCAGTGTCATAGGTATGTATTCTGTGTCTGGGGAGCACTATGGGAGACTGCTTTTACTCAGCAATGTCATAGGTATATATTCTGTGTCTGGGGAGCACTATGCGAGACTGCTTCTACTCAGCAGTGTCATAGGTATGTATTCTGTGTCTGGGGAGCACTATGGGAGACTGCTTCTACTCAGCAGTGTCATAGGTATGTATTCTGTGTTTGGGGAGCACTATGCGAGACTGCTTCTACTCAGCAGTGTGATAGGTATGTATTCTGTGTCTGAGGAGCACTATGGGAGAATGCTTCTACTCAACAGCACTGTCATAGGTATGTATTCTGTGTCTAGGGAGCACTATGGGAGACTGCTTCTACTCAGCAGTGTCATAGGTATGTATTCTGTGTCTGGGGAGAACTATGGGAGACTGCTTTTACTCAGCAATGTCATAGGTATATATTCTGTGTCTGGGGAGCACTATGGGAGACTGCTTCTACTCAGCAGTGTCATAGGTATGTATTCTGTGTTTGGGGAGCACTATGGGAGACTGCTTCTACTCAGCAGTGTCATAGGTATGTGTTCTGTGTTTGGGGAGCACTACGGGAGACTGCTTTTACTCAGCAATGTCATAGGTATATATTCTGTGTCTGGGGAGCACTATGGGAGACTACTTCTACTCAGCAGTGTCATAGGTATGCATTCTGTGACTGCCATGCTCTAGGCATTGTGCTATAATGTGGGGAGATACTGTGAACTAGAGAGATGATATCCCTCCTCCTATAGAGCTCACAGGCCTGTGGAAGAGAGAGACGCCAAGAGCAAAGAAAGGACAAATAAATGGGTTCTACTATTTCATATGACCAGTTTTATACATAAAAGGTCAGGGTATTGTAATTAAGGACAGCAGTGAAGGATGCAGGAACCAGATGAGGATCATTTCACTCAGGGATAACTAAAAGAGGAGAGAGTTTTCTGCTGAGGAAGTGTGTCAGCTCCAAGAAATCCAGCATGGCCAGGAAAAAGCGAGGGTCATGTGCACTGGATGTGGTCAGGTACGTCAGCTGAACTCAGTTTCTCTTTCATGTTTCTGTGACCATGACCATGAACTTATCGCATTGTTAAGTCTGCAAGTCACGCTGAATTAACTACACAATGCCCGTTCTGTCTCCTTAAACTGTATCACTTCTTTCATTACCTCAGTTTCCACAGCATTCTAGTATATCTACTTACCTCAACTTGGCTCAGAAGGCAATAGGGCCTGAGACTGTGGCATTTGGACAAGAATGTTCAAGATGTCCACCCAGCTTTTGTTTTTGAAATGATATTATGTGTTCAGTTTTTCCTCATGTAAAAAATAATAAATTCAGGTCAATGCCATTATGTGGTTTTGATTACATTGATTATATTTGTGGAATATCTTTTTTTGCTCTGTAAATGCAGTTTATGAGCACCATAGGTAATTTAACATATATATGAAGCAAAAAGAAGAAATAAAGTTATCTGCAATACCATCATCAAATATATTTCCTATAAAAATTTATTTTCAATATATATTTTTAATATATAATATGGATAATATATAGTATCTTTTTTATATTCTATATATACTATAGAAGTATATATACTATATATCATATAGAATATACCATAGATTCTATATATACTATAGAATCATGCCATATATAGCTCTATATCTGCATAAATAAAATTGTGTACAGAGGCTCATGTCTTTAGTTACTTTAAGAAATATTACATTTTTGGATATAATTTAAAGTTTCATAACATTTTGCCTTTGAAACAGAATTTATAAAACATTTTTCTCTTATTTTAAATGTAGGCTTATTAAAATTTTTGCTTATCTAAAACAACACTGAAATGAATATCTATGTAAAGAATTCCTCGATTCTCTTTGTGATAGGTCTTTAAATAAAAAAGTGTTCATTTCTAATTTATATATCCAAGTTGCTTCCTCTCAACAATCTATCATGACAGAGGGCAGAACCTGGTGACATCTTTTTACTTTATTCACAACAGTACTGATGATCATTTATTTTTTTTCTTTCTGTAATTCAGCAGTAAGAGTGAGATCTTGTTGTAGATATTCTGGATATAGTTTACATTTTTATCATTAATGTCTTGTATTTGTGTTATCTGCAAATTCTTTTTTAGTAAAGTGTGCAATTAAAAAATATGTCTACATTATTCTGATATTAATAATATCTAAGTGATGGCTATATGTTACTAATCTTTATCTTTTGCTTTGTCATAGATCCAAAAAAATTTTCCAAGTAAAATAATAATCTACTCTTTAATTCCCAAATATATATATATATATATTTTTTCTCTTTTCAAATCCTAATTTATTTTCCATAGTATTTACTTTGTTTTTTCAACTTTCATTTTAGATTCAGGGGGTACATGTGCAGGTTTCTTACCTGGGTATAGCGTGTGATGCTGAGGTTTGAGTTATGGGTGATCCCATTACCCAAGAACTGAGCATAGCACCCAGTAGTTAGCTTTCTAACCTTTATCTCCCCCGACTCGTTCCCCATCTAGCAGTCCCTGGTTTCAATTGTTGACATCTTTATATCCATGAATACATGGTATTTTGTTTGTTGTCTTTGTTTATACATTAGACAAATCTTTACCCATATATTTTCTAGTTGTTTTAGAGTTTCATTTTCTACAGCTGTAATCAATTTTATTTTTTATATGTAAAAACAGTATATAACATTTATTCCTAACGTGTTATTAAAATTTCAGAATATTTAAGTAATTTTTTCTCAATCACTGAATCACAGTGGCAACTTTGCTGCTTGTGTTTTCAAAGAGTTGTGCTAAAACCATGGCAGGGAACTACACCTTCCTTTCCATTGCCATGTAATGTCCAAAATGAACCAATCTGTTGATGAGAAAACACCTCTCCCTCTCTTGTCCAACTCTTATATTTTCATCAGTTTATGACACTAGAAAGCTTCAGTAATTTCATTAAGTACTACTATTTAATAAATATATTAATACATAGATTTTAGTTTGAAATAGACCATAGTTCCACTAAGGCTGCCTAGCCCTGTTTCTAGTTAACACACATAAAATGCGCATATGTAGAATAATTAAATAGTAGGGTTTATGTTAAAACAATATTTAAATAAATATTCCACTACCTCTTTATGTTTCCTAATATGAGGAATTTTAAAAATTCACTTTTATGAAAACCCATAACATTCTCTTAGTTCATTTTCTATAAAGAAAATACATTTATTCCTTACAATTATGTAGGCTGAGAAGTCCAAGGGCAAGGGTCCACATGCAGCGAGGGCCCTCCTGCCAGCACGGACTCCCTGCAGAGCCTCAGGCAGACCAGTGGGGACCCTCCTGCCAGCACGGACTCCCTGCAGAGCATCAGGGGGACCAGTGGGGACCCTCCTGCCTGCGGGGACTCCCTGCAGAGCCTCAGGCAGATGAGTGGGGACCCTCCTGCCAGCAGGGACTCCCTGCAGAGCATCAGGGGGACCAGTGGGGACCCTCCTGCCTGCGGGGACTCCCTGCAGAGCCTCAGGCGGATGAGTGGGGACCCTCCTGCCAGCAGGGACTCCCTGAAGAGCCTCAGCAGGACCAGTGGGGACCCTCCTGCCAGCACGGACTCCCTGCAGAGCATCAGGGGGACCAGTGGGGACCCTCCTGCCTGCAGGGACTCCCTGCAGAGCCTCAGGTGGATGAGTGGGGACCCTCCTGCCAGCAGGGACTCCCTGCAGAGCATCAGGGGGACCAGTGGGGACCCTCCTGCCTGCGGGGACTCCCTGCAGAGCCTCAGGTGGATGAGTGGGGACCCTCCTGCCAGCAGGGACTCCCTGCAGAGCCTAAGCCGGACCAGTGGGGACCCTCCTGCCAGCGTGGACTCCCTGCAGAGCCTCAGGCAGACCAGTGGGGACCCTCCTGCCAGCGGGGACTCCCTGCAGAGCCTCAGGCAGACCAGTGGGGACCCTCCTGCCAGCACGGACTCCCTGCACAGCCTCAGGCGGACCAGTGGGGACCCTCCTGCCAGCGCAGACTCCCTGCAGAACCTAAGGTGGACCAGTGGGGACCCTTCTGCCAGCGGGGACTCCCTGCAGAGCCTCAGGTGGACCAGTGGGGACACTTCTGCCAGTGTGGATTCCCTGCAGAGCATGAGGTGGCACAGGACATTACATGATGAGGGAGCTGAGCAGTCTGATGTGCTAGCCAAGATCTCTCTTCTTCTTATAAAGTTAATCTCACTTCTATGATAATCCATTAATCCATGAATTAATTAATTCATTTATGAGAGCAGAGGCCTCACAACCAAATCACCTCTTAAAGGCCCCACATCTGAATACTGCTACATAAAAAATTAATTTTTTTAGAGTGTCATTTTGGTTTTAATCCACAAATTATTTTTCAAAATTTCTGTGGGTATATGTTAGGTGTATATATTTGTGGAATACATGAGATGTTTTGATACAGGCATGCAGTGTGAAATAAGCCCATCATGGAGGATGCGGCATTTATCTTCTTAAGCATTTATCCTTTGCATTACAAACAATCCAATTACATAGGTTCAGAAGTACTTGTGTAGGTGTCATATAGGTAAATTGCATGTCACAAGGGATTGGTGTACAGATTATTTCATCTTCCAAGTAATAAGCATAGTACCCTATAGGTAGTTTTTCTATTTGTGTATTTTTAATATTAAATCCCAATCTCTAGAAACACTAATACAAATAATTCTTTTTAAGTTATCGACAACTTAGTCACATACAAAATTGTTTCACAATGAGCAGGTCTATACAAACCTATCCAAAGTTGGAGGAAGCTGAGATGCTGAAGATAGAGGCTGATAAATACAGTTTCTTAGGCAGAAACAATTAATAGGGACTTATGAACAGAAGCCATGTGTGTGTCTCAGGCAGCAGTGAGATGAGATGGCAAATTCCTGTGCCATTAACCCCAAAACCCAGGACTTATATGCCATAGGGAAGGAATGATTCAGAAGGCATGTGTAGGACAATTGAAGTATGATAACATAAAAGTTGTTTGACCTAAGGGCAGGATTTATAATAAGTACCTGTTCTTACACGAGGAGCAATAAATAAACTGGAAATCTTAAAGGCCTTCCCCCCTGGAGTTAATCAGAAGCCAATAGGGCAGATCACCATTCAAGATGGAGTTACTTGAGCCTCCCATCTAAGAAAGAGTAGCTTTAGTCTCCAAAAACTTTTCTTTCATAAATTCTCTTTATAAACCTTATCATATCTTACACAGACTATTTATGACATACTTGGACTTTCTGTTTTGTCCAAAATTTCCCTCTTAAATAATGAGTTGTTTTATTTTAGAACTACATTTACTATACAAGTCTCTTTCTCATACAAAATTATACTTTTTACCCATTTTTAAAAATAAATACATCTTTGGATTTGTATAATAGCCTTTGAATTTGACAAAGATTATTTTCCTTTTAATAAGAACATATTTTTATGTCTTTATTATAATTTCTTTTCCATAAAAATATTTACTTTGGTACTCTCTAAATACAGAATTATATATTAACTAGAATTTTTATTCTTAGAACCTTAAATTTTTGTGAAAACCTAGGAAGTAGTAAATCTTGAATTGTCTGTCATATATCAGTATTTTATAGATGAGAACCATTTTATATTATTTTAGAAATATGTTTTTCTGTTTTTTAAATTAGAAATGATCCAGACACTTAATGAGTATTATTTACTTTAACTTTAAGATTTTAAATTATATGACAAGTTCATTTATAAGCATTTATGCCATTAAAGCTACCTAATTTATTTTTTAAAACAGTTTTCCTAGGTTACTTACAAAAACTGACATATTAGACAAAGCTAGTCATCATTAAAGTTATTTTTCAGCTAACCATTCTTATAGGCTGTGAATATTTCAGGTGTTTACCTACATAAGAACCAAATGTTAAATATATGTTTATTTGATTTTTTTTTGGCCAACCACTAAGGTTTTACCTATTTTCAATAAATCAACAGTATTAAATGTCTTATTTATAAAAAATTACACAATGATCATTAAGGGATGGGTTTTAAAGTTTTATAACCTTCATGACAAAGTTTGGTACCTTATAATACAAACACCGCTAAATATAAAACTATTTCACCAATAAATCCAGACAAAAATGTATGCTGACAATTCTGAAGGCATTTCAAATTTTATTTTACTAATAATTATAAAGCCAGCTTATTTATTGAAGATTTACTTGTCATGTGAACTTGAAGAGCATTTGGACTTTATGAGTAATCCTTTATTTTTAAGCCCATTTGATACCTTGCAGTTACAACATATAAGAAAATACATGTACATGTAACATAAACACAACTCAACATAGATACACAGATACAAAGATCCCATAGGTTTTATTTCAGAACTCTAGTCACAAGACAGCAATACAGATTCACCAGCTTGCAAAAGATGGTTTAATTTAAACAATGGGTTTTATCTCAAAACCAGTAGAAAAGCAACAGTACATTTAAAACAGAAAAATAAAATAGAGAAATTGAGAATTTAGGAGATGCTATATTTAATTCTATAGTTGCAGGTCAACTTTGAGCTCTGAATTTACCCATCAGTTTAAAAATGTGCCAGAACAGACTATAATACATAACCAGCCAGAGTACTAGAAAACCAAGCATGCTCTCAAACCTTCACATTTACACAAACATTTGCAAGTAGAGTGCCATAAAACCCCCAGGGGTGCCCCAAAGGAGGTCATCTCCTTGTCTTTTCTCAATCTTTGAGAATTTGCTTTGCAAGTTTTTTTTTTTGTTTGTTTGTTTTTTAGTGGAGGAGCCAGACTGTAGCGTGGGTTTCAGTGCAGTGGGGCTCAGAAGTTGTCTCTCATTCACTTATACAAACATCAGGTTTTTCAAGCAAATGCACAGATGAACCAATTGAGACTAATTTTTGGAGAAAAAAGCAATGGAGAAAACTCTAGAATGAACCTGTGAATCCAAAATTAGAATCTGAAACAAGTTCCCAGGAAAAGACCAGCTCAGAATAAACCAAAGTACTATTAACTACATAAGGGATCTGTGGCTCAGGAGTACTTACTTACCAGTTCCACCTATGGAGAACCTCAAAGTCAGGAGGCTTTCAATAAGCCTGCAGCAGGAGAATATGGTCTGGAGACCTGGAGACAGGGAACTTAAGGCCAATTTATGCTAACTTCCTAAAAGAGAAAACACCAAGGTCTGGGAGCAGGACCTGGACAACTTGTAGTCAAGACTTTCCACTGGTAACAAGCCCAAATTGGTACCTTATTTCCAAGTTCACATGACTCCTTTTGGGGAGAAGAGTCCTTAGTCTTCTCTGAGGTCCTGCATTGGGCACCAAATAATGTTGATGAAGAAAAGTGAAACTCTAAAATATTTGAAGAGGTTTATTCTGAGCCAAATGGCCCAGGACACAGCCCCAGATGGTCCTGAGAATATGTGCCCAATGTGGTTGGGTTATAGCTTGGTTTGATACATTTTAGGGAGACAAAAGTTACAATCAAAGAGATAAATCAATACATGAGGGATATACATTGGTTCCAGAAAGTTTAGACATCTTAAAGTCAAGGTTTACAAGTCAAAAATAGATTCAAAGATTTTCTGATTGGCAACTGTTTGAGTTAAGCTTTGTCTAAAGACTTAAAATGTCAGTAGAAAGGAATGCTTAAGATTACATAGTTGTGGAAGCCAAGGTTTTTGTTATAGAAAGAAATGCTCGAGTTAAGATAACGGGGTCCTGGAAGCCAACGTTCTTGTTATGTAGATGAAGTTTCCATGTAGCAGGCTTTAGAAAGAATAGTTGACAAATGTCTCTCTTGCACCTTAGAAGATGTCAGACTCTCATTTACTCTCTCCTGGATCTGGAAAAGGCTTAGCGGCATTAATCAAGTTTCTCTACAGATGCAAAATTTCCCCCACAAAAGATACCTTTGCAGGACCATTTCAAAATTTGTCAAATAAGTATGTTCCAGGGTAAAGTATTTTTATTTACTTCATGGTTTGCTATCTGTCATGTGGTGCTATATGAGAGTCAGGTTGAAATTTAGTATCTTATTACCACCTAGAATCTGTTTTGTCAGTCTCATGATCTCTGTTTTAATGTTAATGCTGGTCAGTCATTTAGCATTCAATGGTAATGCTAGAGACCTCAAGTGTTTAGTTTAACTCTTTCAACCAACTGCCAGTCAAGAATTTTTTAATCAACCTATGAAAGCTTCTAAGTAGCAGGCTTCAGAGAGGATAGATGGTAAAAGGTGTCAGACTCTTAGTTAAATGTTTTCTGGATCCTCACGAGGACTTAGAAAGGGAAGCAAATTCTATACAGAATTCAGATTTCCCCCAGAAGAATTGGCTTTGCAGGGCCATTCCAAAACATGTCAAAGAAATACATTTTGGGGTAAAATATTTTATTTCCTTCAGGGCCTGTTACCTGTCATGTGATTCTACACCAGAGTCAGGTTGGAATCTGCTATTGTTGCTACAGTCTGTTTTGTCAGTCTTATAATCACTGTGTTAATGTCAATACTGGTCAGTTTTGCCTAAACTCCAAAGGGATGGCATACAAGGAGTCATGTCTGACCTCCCTTCCCGCATGGCCTGAACTAGTTTTTCAGATTTCTTTGAGATCTCCCTGGGCAAGAGAGTTTCCAATCAGTCAATGACAGGGCTTGGGATTTATTATTATTATTATTATTATTTTCTGAGGTTGCAACACAAAGCCCAAGTAGGAGGTCTAATTTTGGATAGAGGCAGAAACACTGTCTCATGGAATGCAAGAGTAAATACAATAAAATGAGAGAGATGGAAAATAGAGTACACTCAACTATGTTGCTTATTTTCAGTCTTCTGATGCCTAATCCCTCATTGTTTTGTAGTCACATGGTTATTTCTTGGTTCTTTTATAACATTTTTCACAACTGGATTGCTATGATTGTGCAGACACTGTCTACTAGAGTCAAATTTTGTTTTGAAATAGTTCATTATTTTATTTAACTGCATAAACTAGTTTAGTCTATGATGAGTTAATAGACAGATGTGAAAAATTTTAAACTCCTCTGTCAGGGTTCAGAACATGATCCTTCCAAATATGGCTTCTTGATGAAATCTAAAAGTAAAATCCTAAGCCGCCCAATCAACTGAATGGATCCCCCTTCTTGGCCAGTGGAGCTGAGAGCAATCTGAAAAAGTAAATTTCAGGCCATGAGGGAAGGGGGATTGGGCACACCTTGTTGCACTCCCTCCATTGTGGAATTAACATTAAAATAGAGATCACAGGACTGACAAAACAATAAGATACCAAATTCCAACCTGACTCCCATATAGCATCACATGACAGATAGTAGACACTGAAAGAAATAAAAATATTTTACCACAAAATATATTTATATGACAGATTTCGAAATGGCCCTGCAAAGCTATCTTTTGTGGGGGAAATTTTGCATCTGCCATTAGTGCAGCTAGGCCTTTTCCAGATCTAGGAAAGATAAACTGTGAGGCTCACACCTTTTAAGGTCCAAAAAGAGACATTTACCATCTATTCTTTCTGAAGCCAGCTACATGGAGGCTTCATATATGTAACAAGAATCTTAGCTTCCACAAACTCCCTTACCTTAACTCAAACATTTTTTTCTACTGACTTCAAGTCTTTAGTTTAACTCTTTCAACCAATTGCCAATCAGAAAAATCTTTGCATCCACGTATGACTTATAAGCCTTCCACTTCATGTCCTGCTTTTTCAGGCTGGAACAATGTATATTTTACATGTATTGATTTATGACTTTGCCTGCAAGTTCTTTCCCTAAGTTTTAGGGAGACAGAAGTTACCCTGGGCACACTTTCTCAGGATCTTCTGAGGCTTTTCCCTGGCCATCGTCACTCATATTGGCTCAGAATAAACCTCTTTAAATATTTTACAGTGTTCAGCTTTTTCATCAGATGCAAACTTGACATACTAAATAAGCTGAAGAAAACTGAGAAAACCGAAGAGGTAGAAAGGTCACTTTCTGATTTTTTCTGCCCTTCTCCCCTGAGAGCTGTCCACAAAAGAATTCTCAGACCTACCTGTTCTGAGAGAAGGTAATAAGCCCCTTATTCCAGAGGGGCCCTGACCAATGCCCAGAGGGAAAAAAATGTCACATGGGGAGGCCACTAAGAATCTGAACAAACCTCACTAAGTCCTCCTCCTAAGTTTATTTCCATTATATCATATTTTTAAATGTTCTAATCATACTTTTAAGGCTCGCATGCCTCATGAAACTTCTACTAAGTAAATTTGCTATACTTTTCTGTTGCTAATCTGTCTTTTGTTAGAAGTTACCAACCACGAACCTTTTGATGAGCAAGGAAAAAATGTCTTACTTCCCCCCCGCCCCCCCCCCCCGTAGCACTAATTATAAACTTTGCAAAGTTTTGATACTATCTATCATCTTATGGTGTGACCCATCTCATTCACAGGGAAGTCCAAACACAGCTCATGTGGTCTATGCAGTCCATTTATACGGGATTTTGCTACAGTTTCTATACTCCTAGATTCTTAGGCTTAGCATCACTAAGAGGGATAGAATGTGTCTGAACTGTATCCGTTCATTATATCAGGGATAGAATGTGTCTGAACTGTATGCATTCATTATATCAGGGATAGAATGTGTCTCTGAACTGTATCAGTTCATTATATCAGGGATATAAGGTGTGTCTGAACTGTATCCGTTCATTATATCAGGGATAGAATGTGTCTATGAACTGTATCCGTTCATTATATCAGGGATAGAATGTGTCTCTGAACTGTATCAGTTCATTACATCAGGGATAGAATGTGTCTGTGAACTGTATCAGTTCATTATATCAGGGACAGAATGTGTGTCTGAACTGTATCAATACACATAACCTACTTCTGAGACACAGTAAGGACAGGGCTTGGCCCCCACTCCTACTATCACATTTTTTTCCCGTACCTGCCAACTTCCAGACCTTGCACCACCACCTCCACTGGCACGATACCCACTGGATGGATAACTTGAAGAAACTAAGTTAAGCAGCATTCCACCATAAATCTTATTCAAGGGAGTTAACCTTATCACTCACGTGTGCCTAAGACCAGAAGAATGACTGATCTTTACCCCTTGCTTCATTATAATACTAAAATCTCCACCCAGGGAAGGGCTTACCTACCATTTTTTGATCATGCAATGTATGTGTTCACATAATTTCTCACTGTGCCTGCATATCCTGTGCTCCACTCCACATGTATAAAGAGCCTCCCATACCTCATGATTATCCACGTCACTCATCTTAAAACACAGCAAAGACCTAGCCATGGGGAACCAGCCAGAGAACTGTCATTCCAGTGCTGTCTCCCTTGTGTTCGAGCATAAGCCCTTAATAAAGCCTTGTCTGGAAAACTTGCTTGGTCTCATGTCCATTTCTATTGCACAGGAGCCCAAGAACCTGTGGTTAGTAATACTTTCACATTTTGGCCTGAATGAATCAGGTACTGTCATTTAGCTGATAGGTGACTAGTTTCCTTTATTATTTTCATAGTTTTACATCTTATGTGTCAATATGGTTTGGCTCTGTGTCCCCACCTAAATCTCATGTTGAATTGTAATTCCCAGTGTTCAGGGAGGTAGCTGGTAGGAGGTGATTGGATCCTGGGGTGGATTTCCCCCTTGCTGTGCTCATGATTCTGAGTGAGTTCTCCTGAGATCTAGTTGCTTGAAAGTGTGAAGCACTTCCCCTTTCACTCTCTCTCTCCTGCTCAGCCTTGTAAATATTGTACCTGCTTCCCCTCCACCTTCCCCCATGATTGTGTGTTTCCCGGGGCCTCCCCAGCCAGCTTTCTGTGAAGCCTAAGCAACTGTGAGTCAATTAAACCTCTTTTCTCCATAAATTACCCAGTCCCAGGTATGTCTTTATGGCAGCACGAGGACGGACTAATACAGTATCTATCTCTAAACAACAGAGTTTACTCTTGTCTATTTTTGAACTTTAAAAATGAAGTTACTTTGAATATTTTTTTGACTTTTTTGCTAAATATAATTTTTGTGATATTCAGCTCATTATCGTGTATGGTTTGCTCATTTTCCTTAGCATATGCAAAGTCATTGAATATCTTAATTGATATATTTATTCTATAGTTATTTGGTATGTATGTTATTTTCAGCTTCAGGCTATTATGAATGCTTTTGCTATTGACATTTATGTCCTTATGTTTTCATATATAAATGCAAAAAATATAGTGCATATACCTATGGGTAGAATTGATGGGTATGTATTTTTCTGACTTATAATGAGGTTGAGTAAGTTTTCTTTGATTTATTAGCCATTTAGAGTTTCCCTTTTGTAAAGTACCTATTCAAGTATTTTTCCCATTTGCTATCAAATTTTGGCCTTTTGTTATAGACACATAAGAATTTTTTTATACATGTGCTGGATATTTTGTTTTCAGTTTTGTTACACATCTGCTAGTTTGTGACCTATCCAAGTGTTCAAATTTTATTTGTAAATTGAATTACCAATATTTTACTTTATATTAGCCTTTTTTGTCTTAAGTAATCTGTTCATAACCTGAAGTCAAGAAAATATTATCCTATCTTCTAAAAGCTCATAGTTTTTTTTTTTTCTTTCTTCACCTTTTAGTTTTTAACCCGCCTAAAACATATCTGTGGTATGTGACTTTAGGCAAATTTTCCATTCCCCATATGAACAAACAATTTTCCCAATACAACTTGATAAATTTATTTTTCCCAGATCTGCAGTGACATCTCTGTCTCCTTTATAGTCACATTCCATAAAAGCTTTGCCTGCTCTTGGTCTCCCTAATTCCTCCACTGTCCTCTCTATTCAGGATATTTACCTCTCATTTCAATGATCTTTATGTGGATAAATCAAATCTTTCAGGGCAATCAGCACAGTTTTTGTTTGTCTGTTTTTTTCCTTGTTTTGATATAACTGTCTGTTCCCTCGATTGAAGATGTGTATTTTGTTTTGTTGCATTTTCATCTGTCTTCAAGTACACCATACTGATGGCTTTTCCTAACTCATTGTTTTGTTTTTCCTTTTAATTTTTTTTCTCCTTGTGTCATTTCTCCAGGCTCACTTCTTAATACTGGAGGGCTCCTAGCTCAGTTATGGGTCCTCTTCTTTTTTTTCCTGTACCTTTTCTCTGTTAAGCTCATTGGGGTTCTTAGCTATAAACATGTATCTATATAATAATATCTATGTATTAATGACTGCAGTTCAAAGCAAACTTGGCATTCACCAAACTGATCTGTGCCTCTGTCTTCCCACCCTAAACTTCCTGCAACTGCGTCTTTCCTTAGGCCCAGTGGTAGGAGGTCCACAATTTCAGTTGCTCAATCCAAGCCCTTAGAGTTGCCCCTGGTGCTTCTCTTTCCCTTGAATCAGATATCCAACTAGTAAAGGAATCCTGTTGGCTCTACCTTCAGAAGACATCTAGGTTCCAACCATTTCTACAATATGTTCCTGCTTTACCTAAATCCTCTAAGGGTTATTTCTAAAGCAACAGTTGAAGAAACGTCAGATCATGCCACTTTGGTGATTAAAACCCCACTGTCGCTCACTGTTTATTGGGAGTAAAATCTAAAATTCTTACAGGAAGCTCTACAGGGCCCTTTTACATGCTCCTCTGCCCCATTACCTCTTAGATGTCTGCTTGTGCCACTGTTTCCCTCACTGCTCCAGCCATCCTGGCCTTCTTGTCATTCTTTGAATAAGCCATGTACACTCTCACCTCAGGCCTGTCCCACCAGTTTTTTTTTTTTTTTCTCCACTTGGGATCCCTCCCACCCCAACACTCTCTTCAGGGCTAAATTCTTTATGTCCTCAAGACTGCATGAATGTTATCCTTCCAAAGAGATCTGTACTATCGATGACATTGTAAAAAGCAACAAACGTTACCACAGCTTCGGCAATTCTTTCTCTCTCTTAATCTACTTTTTCCCTTTCTCTATACCATTTGACATTGACAGACTATATAGTTAACTTCTTTCTTCTGTTTA
This sequence comes from Homo sapiens, assembly GCF_000001405.40. Lineage (NCBI taxonomy): Eukaryota > Metazoa > Chordata > Mammalia > Primates > Hominidae > Homo > Homo sapiens. The sequence continues at coordinate 248,661,397 of NC_000001.11, read as the reverse complement.
TTATTTTTCACTGCCTCTGGGCTACATGGGCAGCTTCATGAGGACAGGCACCTATTTTGCAAACAAATATATCCCAAGGGTCTTAATAGTTCAATAGATGGCTGTACATAGTATAAATTCAACAAACATTTGTCAGATGAAATAAGGTTTCATAAAATTTCTGTAGATGCATGGACCTATTTCTGAACTCTTTATTCTTTTTTTTTTTTTTTGGTTTGTCTTGTGATGTGTGAGTTGTATACTGTTTAACGGTTTAACTTGAAAGTAAGTCTGAATTTCTGGCATGACCATTTATCTGCGTTGTTCTTATTTAACATTATCTTGGCTGCTATTCTTGGCTCTTTGATCATCTTTTTAAGAATCAGCTTGCCAAATTGTATTCATATCCTCCGGCTATCTATCTAGCTATCTGTCTATCTTGGGAGAGAGAGAACATTGAATCTATATCTCTGTTTCTAACTGTAGTTCTGGCTCTAAGTATCTATCTTCATTAATCTCTGAATCTATTTCTATTTCTTCAGTATCTCAAACAATCAGTTCCTTTTTAAACTCCCTTTATTATTATGTTAAAGTCTTTCAAGGTAAATAGCCAGTGTGTTGTCATTCTAGCCCTGACCATATTCCTATGCATCCATGAAAAGGGAGAACAGTGCACCAGTCTGCTCACACTGAGTCCTTCATAGGACTTACTTACAACACCCCAAAATCTCAGTGACTTACACAACAAATGTATGTGTCTCAACTTATTGAAGATACCATTCAAAAGAATTTCAAAATTATTTTTGAAATTTAAAAGAATTAAAATCATGAACTCAGAAAATTGTACAACAATGTTCATAGCTCCATTATTTACGGTAGCCAAAATGTTGTGTCCATCAATAGACAAATAAATGAGCAAAATGTGATATATACAAGCAATGTGATACTATTCCGCCTTCAAAAGGAATGAAACTCTGATATTTACTGCCACATGGATGAACCCTGAAAATGAAGTGAAGTAAGTATAAAGGCAGATATTGTATGATTCTACTCATTTGAGGTACCCTGTTGGAGGCCGAAAGAGTGAGGGTCGTGATCAACTGAGTACCCCACTGGAGGCTGGGTGAGTAAGCAGCAAAACTGCTTCTCATAAATGCAGAATGTTGGCAAACTGACAAACTGCGTTTGCCACACAGAGGTTATGCTGAGGGCGGTCACGCCCCAGGCACAAGTGTTTGTTATTATTAGGTACGTCTGAAAGTCTGATAGCAATGATGTGAACCTGTAATCAATCAAGTAGTTGACCAATCGTGACGTCCTCCTCCCTGCTCTTTCTACCCAATAAATACGGAGGGCTGAGAAGTTCGGGCGGCTGCCTTTACTGACTAGGAGCTGGGATCTCTCTTCTTCCCCTAAGCGAGCCTTTCCTTAAAACCGTTTTCTTCTGTCTTTTGTTACTATTTCTACATTCATTTCTTCATTCAGTCCTGTAATGATGGTTTCAAGTAGTAATTGTACAAGTCTGTCACAAGTGTTGCCTGAACAGGGGCATCTAGGGACAAGTACAGACCTGAAGAGGCCTGGAGGGATAAATAGATCAGCAGGGATAGAGAGAAAGACAGAGTATAGGTAGGGAAAGACAGGAACTTGCAGGAACTAACAGGGACCATGGGGACAGATAGGGATAGATAAAGACTAGCAGAGACTAGCAGAAACTTGCAGGGACAGACAGGTTCCTATAGAGACTTGAACGAGGAAGGTCTGCTGGAACAGAAGCTAAAACTAGCCAGACAAACGAGAAACCCCATTACAAGTCAGCCAGCAGCAACATAAGGCTAGTGCTCTAAAAAGGTACTTGTCAGTGCCCCAGAGGTTTGAAGAACGGGAAGTTTTTGAATCAGGGTAGCATGGGGAAGAATTTGGTTATTTTTTTCTTTCATTTGGAGTTTGGTACATACCTTTTCCGTTATTTCAGGGCCGGAGAGACTGTTTTGCCCCACTTAGAGCACCTATCAAAAGTGGTAGACAAGAGGGAGAATGAAAACTGGCTGGCAGCATCTTTTGTGGCTACAGAAATGCTCACTTTGACTATGGCTTATTGAGGCTACAAATGTGGATTGGGAACGTGCAGTGGCACCTGTGAGGTGTGCAGAAAGTTCAGGAGGTTTTCGTAGTTTTTCAAGATGTGGGAACTGAGCTTCACTACTTTATAATGTTGATTCAGGCAACAGCTAATTTTGGTAGTTGACAGATCTAAAAGGAGCCAAGGGTTGAGCCCTAGAGTGGAAAAGTTGTAAGTGTAGAGAATTGGACGTTGCAAAAGAGAATGCCGTCAGACCTCTGGGCAGAAGGGGTCTTAAAACAGTTCTCAACAGAAAAAGTGCCAGGACTTTGCCGTCGTTGAAATAAGGGAAATCACTAGGCTAATCAATGCTACTCTATATTTGACCAGAACGGCACTCCCTGTGGGGAAACCAGAAGCGGGCCTGGACCTGGGCACCTCGAACAAGGACTTCCCCAGTCCAGGCCACAACTCCGTTTCAGGGGGGTTTCTGGAGGTGCTTTGACTCCCCCTCCTCACGCAGTAGGAAGCACAGGATTAGATCTCCCAAACGAACGGGTTTAGGGGAAAGCAACCGGCTTTGGGGGGAAAGCAACCTGACTCACACTGGCGTTTGGGGACCTTTGCCAACAGGATAGGTGGGATTAATTTTAGGCAAAAGTCATCTTAACTTGCGGGGCATTACTGAAGTCCCAGGAGTTCTTCGGCTTATGGAGAAATTCAGGTAGCGGTCATGTCCCAAGATCTCTGGGTTTTGAAGCAGGAGAATATATTGCGCAGCTGTTGCTCATCCCCTGTAAATTGTACCCTTCTCTACGTAAGAAGCGAGGAGGTCAGGCATTTGGAAGTACAGCTGGGAGAAAGCTATCACAACCCACAGCATCTAATAGACCCGCCTGTGTAAGTGCAAATGGAAGGTTTAAGGATTGCTTTTTTGCTACACTGTTGCACGAGAAGGATAAGCCTCAACTTGTTTTCTCTGTGCCTTCTGTTCATCAGAAAAAGCTGCTTTCACTATCAACGGAAAGTTTTACCCCGCAGCAATTAGGCCAAGAGGCAGAAGCTGCGCCGCAGCTTGTGGAGCGGAGGCCTCAGCAATGGCCTGGCTCCCGGCTGCAGCCCCAGAAAGCTTTTTGCTTTTGTAGAGTTACTAACGTGGGGACAGGACATGCCTGTGTCTTTACAGGAGATGAACCGTGTGGGTGCCCTCGGGACCGAGGGCCGACCGCAGTCCCGCTGACCTCAACCCCCATAATACAGGGACAGACATAATTTAAAAAAGGGTTGGAGGCAGAAAGGGCGAGGGTCGCGATCGGCTCGGTTTACCACTGGAGGCCGGACGAGTAAGCAGCAAAACTGCTTCTCACAAATGCAGAATGTTGGCAAACTGAGAGACTGCGTTTCCGCGCGGAGGTGGAGCGGAGGGCGTCACGCGCAGGCACGAGTGTGTCATTAGGTGCGTGGGAAGGTCCGATCGCAACCATGTGCACCTGCGATCAATCACGCAGCTGATCAATCGTGCGTCCTCCTCCCTGCTCCTACTCGATCCATGCGGAGGGCTGAGAAGCTGGGGCGGCTGCCCTTGCTCACTAGAAGCTGGGAGCTCTTCTTCCCCGAGCTTAGCCTTCGAACAGTGTTTTCCCCCCACTTCTACCTCCCTCCCTTCGCTCAGCCCTGTAATGAGCATCTCAAGCAGTAACAGTAACTGCGGTAGTGACCGTCTCAAGTAGCAATTGTACAGGTTTGCTACAGTACCTAGAAGAGGAAAATCCACAGAAACAGAATACACCTTACCCCAGAGATGAGGAAAAGGAGAAAATAGAGTTAATGTTTAATGGGTACAGAAGATTTGTTTGGGATGAGGAAAAAGTCCTGGAGATGGATGGTGGTGATGGTTGTATCAACCTAAAGGAAAAAACTTGAGGCAAAGTTAACACGTATATTTGGACCAAGATTGGGAAATGCAATCTGAGGAGACAGATTCTAGTAGCCTTAAATAAATGCTCCAACTAACAGCAGTTATAATGGGGCCTCTAAGGGAAAAGAGAAGTTCTAAGCTGACATAAACTATTGATCAACTAGACATTGTTCTTTTGTAGCTATTGATCAGCTATACACTATTCTCTGTAGGGAACATGAAGATGGTTGGTAAAGGTCATATTGTACAACTTGTAACATTTTAGGTAACTTATCAGCTAGTCTGGAAACTTCGGGGGAGCGGGGGGAAGTATAAAATTCCTTTAAACAACCCCAGGTGCGCATGTGTGAGCAGGGCTGGGTAGGGAAGTTATTGAATTCTCATGCTCGTGTCTCTGAGCCTAAGACGTTTGGTAAAGCTCACATTCTTCAGACTGCTCTGAATCATTTTTCTCAGTTTCAAATATTTTCTAAGGTCAATTTTTGGGGAAGCTAAGGCAGGTCATATATGAAAGTAATTTAACAGTGGCTTTCTCAGATTGGACCTCAATCCTGAACAAAGGGGAAAGACCCAAAGAATTTTCTAAACTACCAAAAAATTTAAAAATTTCAACCAACCGTACTAGGATTGAATCATCTCTTCTTGCTTATAGAAAATATTAGAGTACATAGTAATGTAGCCAGTTGTTGGAAAAAATGGTAAGTGGTAAGTTCAACCAGTTAAGATTTAAGTTGGGGTGTTTATGTATTTCTTTGTGGTATTTTGTCAGCTTTCTAAAGGTGTAATTTTGTTGGAGTTTCACTGAAGAGAATATTATACCTGTGCAATCATGATTTGTAGCCTGTTTTCTTAAGATGCCCCAGATTGCATAAGCTTCAGCCTCAGAAAACCTGAATTCCAACCCCCACTAATTTAAACACCAGTGAGGTAAATATGAATTACATGAAAGCCAAGATCATGCAGGCATAGATTGCAGCACAACAAGACTGCAGGGTCTAAAATTCCCCCCCACCCTTCCCCGCTCCCCCCAGGAATCGTTGTGGGCCCTTTTGAGAATACTGGATGAGAAAAGGTCTGTCTTCTTGAAGTAACTCAAAGATCTTATATACACTGAGATCAGTAAAATGAATATTTTTAAATGCTTGCAATGCTGAAAGTTTTATGTATTACAAGTTACAAGAAAGACAGGATGATTACATACTAATACTTGAGTGATGGGGAATGGCCCAAAATGTATCTTTTGCAAGACAATACTTCCTTAGAAACATTGATTTCTATTTCAAGAGAGATGCCCGAAAGTTGGAAGTGTAAAAAGAGAAACTTTCAAAACAATGTCGTGAACAAAGTAAAAGAGAAAAAAGCAATTTAAGTTGCAGCTGCCAGCAACCTGACTTATCTTGGGTGTTTACTTTGTAAATTGAGAGGTTACATTTTTCTTAAGGAGTCTGTCACATTTTATATGAACTGTAATTGCAGGCTAGGGACAAGGACCCCAGAGACAGTGATGTCAATGTATCTCCTGAATGGGAGTACTAGCCATCACCATGATGCAAGCTCTATTTGTCACTGGATCTCTATCTTCTTAACAGCCTGCATAATGCAGCTGCTGTCAACTGACGTTAGGCATTTACAGATTCAGGCTGTTCTATTTCTAGATCTTCAAAGGATTCACCTATCACTGTATTTTAAAAAGTCTCAATAAGTTAGGGACTGACCCTTATCCTTCTGCCAACAAGATGTAATTCCCACGCCTAATCCACTGTACCTTCTTGTTTGAATTCATACTCTCCCTGCCTGTACTGTTTCAGTTCAGAAAACAAGTTTGAAATACAGAACATAGAATACCTCCAGTTTAGAAAGTCTGATGTATGCCTCTTAGTTCCCCATACTTACTACATAAAAGGAAATGCTGAACAATTGCATGTACTACCTTAGTTCTGTAAGGTTTCTCTCTAAATATTCAGATCATCGTGTTTGGGGAAGATACTGTGTAAGGTAAGTTTGCAGTCTTGATGCTGATCAATCGCAGGATGCTTTAAATAGATTCTGGACTTCCTAGAAAGTTTTGGTTCAAACCAGAGAAATACTGGAGAATGTTGAAGTTGATACATCTGACTTTGAACTGCAGATACTTGTGGATGGTACTAATATATAAATCTTAGATAATTCAATCTCGTTTCTTAGTAGTTATGGACTCTTATCTTTTCTGTACATCAGAATGTAGCAGATTACTTGAATTCTATGCAGATCTGTCTGCATAATGATTCCAACAGATTTTATCATTGCAACATATATTCACCTATAATTTTAAAATCTTCATAAAGAGCTTATCTAAATCGTAGTATTCCACCTTGTTTAGGTACCTCATAAGCATCTCTAAAAATGGTTTAGTTAGGAAGACCCTCCATATCCTGCTCCGAGAAACCATTGCAGCATACTTAATACTTAGAAGTTCCCAGAAGCTGAAAAGAATGTGAGTGGCTTGCCAGACGTCCAGAAGCTTATCAGTGATGAAGATAGAATATAAAGCCAGCTTTGATTAAAAACCATGTCATGTAGCATTGTGAACATTAAACATGCCAAGAATGTTTCAAGGGTTAGGAATAGACAGGGGAAGAACTCAGTTCAACTTCTGTAGAGACTGAAGGTGATCATGCCCTTGGTCTGCTTCAAGACAATCCCTCGGCCTTAATCAAAACTTCTCTATCGTTCTAAAGATTCCCCAAGTGATTTTACTTTAGTTGTGGAAGAAAAGCCATTTTCTAGAAGTGACACTTCATGTGAAAATACTGCTGGGGAGGAAACATAATGAATCTGATTGTACAGAGAATTAAATGTCTTATAGTCAGGGTCACCATTTAGCCCTGTCTTCTCAAGATATTCCCTTTCTTATGCCTGTTGTCCTCATGTCCTGTCTAGCTTAGCCTTTTAGCACTCAAACGTATTCTGAGTTAGATGGTCACCAAGAATTGTGCCAATCTTTGATGCAGAGCAGGGTCTGACAGAACGACAACAAAAATGAAAAAGTAGAAAACTTGGCTACCTGCTGCTGGACCTGCTATTGAAGAGAAAAACATAATGGACAGCAAAGGGTGAGATTCCCAAAGCTAACTGTCGCTATCACAGTCTTAAGGTTAACCTGGCACTCATTTTTAGTACTCGCTTTTTATACCAGAATTTGTACATGCAACAAGGGTGAAAACTAATTTTACCCATGACAGTGTTCCCACATTTCCAACAGTTCTCCTTGTTACTTAGGTCATTCCTGCTCATCATTCACACTTGAACTCCTGCTTATTTGAAGAACTCCAATTAGATAGAATTCACTGGCATGATCTTAAAGTACAAATTTATCATTGTTGATCTCATAAACCAATGGTTGCATAGTTTTAATGTCTAGACCAAAGATTTTAAGTGCATAGAAATTACATTAAAAATTTTAAATTGTATATTAATCACATACCTCGATGGAAAATATTTTTTTCAAAAATCCAGCACACAGAATGAAAATGTCTGAAATATTTCAAAACTTTTTGGCCTAAACATCAAAGTTACAATTACATGTATGTAACTCGGGGGGCAAAATAGCTGCACTAAATAGAACAAAAGAATATTAATAAAAAATAAAAATCTATAGACTAATCTCGACAAATCACCTATATATAGAAAAGGTCATGAAAAATCAAAATAGCCAAAATATACACTATGTTCAATTTTTTTCATAATCAAATCCATATTGTGAGTTTTGATACTAGTGCTAAATGCTGGGGCAAGCATGATGCTGCCGCAAGTGTGTTCTCTTACTGTTAAGCATTTAACAACTTGGTGATAAGCTTCTAAAGCATAGTAAACCGTTGTCCATGAATTATGCCAGAGAATTCACCTCACAATACTTGCATTATAAGCAAACTCAACAACGTGAATGTGAACCAAGCTGAGTGTCTCATATTCAATCACAGCAATATTCTCTATAAAGACTGGGAAAGATGTGCTAATTATTAGGTATACATAGAACTGGACGTTTACTAAGGTTTGGAATTATGCATAGACAGTTATTACATGGGGCATGGCATAATCCAGTTGATTCCTTTATTTTCCAAGTATTCTTAAATGTTGCTATACTGGGTAACTCTTAAAATACAGTGAATGAATCAACACTACCAGAGTTGGAAGATGGTTGTAAAATCTGAGTGGTTATGGAGCCACTCATATCTCCCCTTTCCCTTTGTGAAGTAAGCTGGGGAGATCCCCAGGGTCTCATTAGCAAGTTTCAGGGCCAGGAGTATTCATGGTCAGGGTTCAGGACACAGCTGCCCTGATAAGGATATTTTTGGACCAATTTTTTCATCTTGGGCTTTAATATTCCCAGTGGACCAATAGCAGTCACTGTGGCTGGTCCCCAGTAGGTAGCCATCATTCTCTGAATTTACTGTGAAATAACAAGCACGGCCCTCCAAGGATCTTGTTCTTATTAAATTATGGACAACCAGGTCTGGGTGAGCATTCAGCACTCTCCATCATACGAATTGCTACTAAATGTTTGCCTTTAATTTTCCCACTGGTTTAACAGTTTTTAAAATAATAAAGATACATTATAAATCAGCTGATGGAAAGCTCTGGCATAAAGCTGGTAATATTTCAAGAATGAGAACTGAAAAATGCATAAGGATATAATGTGGGTTTCATCAGTAAAAATCTGAATTTTCATCGTTTTCCATCCATCCACTGTGGCATGGTTGTGGTGGAATTGTACTGAGGGGCCCTGGTGTGAAGTTCCTGTCTACCAGCCAGTGGGCTGCAGCTTCCATCATTTTTATTGTCCTTTGTTCACATACCAAATAAGTCAAACCTGCTGAGGTCTTAAAACCATTCTGAAAGTGCACCTGTGGTCACACAACACACGTTCATGTGCCTCAATTCTAGGCTCGAAGACAGATGATGTCTTACATTCTTTCAGGGCCTTTCAGAATATCAAACTTTGGCTTACCCAATGTGCCTCTTGAGAAATATTTATGGAATGAATTGATGTCTACTTTGTCCTGTTGGAAAACAGCATAGAACAATTACACTGTCACTGTTTAAAGAACAATGTTCCTCCTTGGGGAAGTTTCCTTAAGCCTAATTTTCAACTGTAGAATGGTCTAGTATCTTACAAAGTTGTTTGGAAACGTAAAATTTACGAATCACTTATTAATGTTCTTACTGCTATTTGAGGGTGAATGCATATACAAGTAAAGCCATTTTTCTAATTTGGTACACACCTAAATTTTTTGGCTCAATTCTAATTTGTGGTGTGTTTAACTCTGGAGGACTTGTTTGGATGAAGGTATTTGGAGCTGTCATATTCTCAGGGATAACTCTAGACCAGTGCTGCCTAGTAGAAATCCTAGGGGAGCCACAGAGAATTCTAAATTTTCTAGTAACCACATTAAAAATGTAAAAAATAGGTGAAACTAATTTTAATCTATATTATCCAAATATATCTAAAAGTTACCATAATATAAAGTTTTAAGGAGATGTGTTGCATATATTTTTAACAGGTGTTTGAATTAACTTTGTGCTCATGGCACATCTTGATTTGGAGCAGTCGTGTTTCAGGGGCTCCACAGCTTCATAAGCCTCATGGCTACCACCCTGGATAGTGCAGATCTATATGATGCAGGGAGAAGCTATCCAAATAACTCAAGTGTTCCTAAATTGTGGTAAAATATTTAACTGATATGGATACATATGCAGAATCTAACTTCAAGTATGAGAGATCCCTTCTTTTTGGGATACACTAGGTCTAATACTTAAACTAGTTTATTTTTTCATAAGTTAAATGGGATTCTAACACTTTAACGAGTTGTATGTTAATAATTGGTAGTTTGCTGCTGCAAGAAGGAAAGCAAACACCACTTGACCCTCAACGTTTTCTCCCATGATTTTTCCTCCTATGAATTCTTGGATGACTTCTCAGAACTCAGCTCTTTTTATTCAACACAGGCTCATTCTGCAATACTCCACCTGATACATGTAAGTTGAGTACTCATTTTACAATGTACAAGTGTGTCAAGAATGGTGTAAATTAGGTCAAATAATGCAGTTATTCTTCCATAGGCAAATATATACTCGTGGTGATCTTCAAACTGGATTCTAAGTGTGAGAACTTAGAGTCTAGTATAAGGAGAGCAGTGTAGGATGTGGACAATCCTCCTTTCCTCCCCACCACCCTATCCTATTGAATCAGGCTGGTTCCATTCTTATGTCTTATATGCATCCTCACCAATGTAAGGTGGTACTCGAAAGACAGAAATAAATGGTCATGAACAAAAAGATTGTTTGATCATGAACTCTAAATAGTAATCACCAAATCAAGAAAATCCTTAAATGAACAATGATGGTATAATGAGATGTAGCACAATCCTGCTCAGGCAGTTCTCTCAGGGAAATTATGAGCTTCAAGAAATAAGATCGACTTGACCTTGGTTTGTTCATGACTACATCATAATGTTTTATGTAAATCAGATACCTTTCCAACTTTGTCATATCTCTTTTGTGTACCCTACAGAGCTATGGAGCAGAGCAATTATTCCGTGTATGCCGACTTTATCCTTCTGGGTTTGTTCAGCAACGCCCGTTTCCCCTGGCTTCTCTTTGCCCTCATTCTCCTGGTCTTTTTGACCTCCATAGCCAGCAACGTGGTCAAGATCATTCTCATCCACATAGACTCCCGCCTCCACACCCCCATGTACTTCCTGCTCAGCCAGCTCTCCCTCAGGGACATCCTGTATATTTCCACCATTGTGCCCAAAATGCTGGTCGACCAGGTGATGAGCCAGAGAGCCATTTCCTTTGCTGGATGCACTGCCCAACACTTCCTCTACTTGACCTTAGCAGGGGCTGAGTTCTTCCTCCTAGGACTCATGTCCTATGATCGCTACGTAGCCATCTGCAACCCTCTGCACTATCCTGTCCTCATGAGCCGCAAGATCTGCTGGTTGATTGTGGCGGCAGCCTGGCTGGGAGGGTCTATCGATGGTTTCTTGCTCACCCCCGTCACCATGCAGTTCCCCTTCTGTGCCTCTCGGGAGATCAACCACTTCTTCTGCGAGGTGCCTGCCCTTCTGAAGCTCTCCTGCACGGACACATCAGCCTACGAGACAGCCATGTATGTCTGCTGTATTATGATGCTCCTCATCCCTTTCTCTGTCATCTCGGGCTCTTACACAAGAATTCTCATTACTGTTTATAGGATGAGCGAGGCAGAGGGGAGGGGAAAGGCTGTGGCCACCTGCTCCTCACACATGGTGGTTGTCAGCCTCTTCTATGGGGCTGCCATGTACACATACGTGCTGCCTCATTCTTACCACACCCCTGAGCAGGACAAAGCTGTATCTGCCTTCTACACCATCCTTACTCCCATGCTCAATCCACTCATTTACAGCCTTAGGAACAAGGATGTCACAGGGGCCCTACAGAAGGTTGTGGGGAGGTGTGTGTCCTCAGGAAAGGTAACCACTTTCTAAAGAAATTTCATATGCTGCTAGAGACTTGAAATGAAGGATACAAGACTTTATCATTGCCCTTGAATTTAAATATTCTCTGCCTGGAAACAAGTGACCCACATGCCACCAACTGTGGGGCATTTATGGGATTTGGAAAGCTGCCTGGGATTTTAAGGATTTCATTTTTTTGAAAGGTATGAAGGCTCTGAACAATGAACAGTTTGGGCTGGGGTAGGCATAAAGTTGAGGTTTAGTAGTCACCCATGAGCTCTTAACAAGGTGTGTATTCCACTAAAAATCATGGAGTAGCCTGTTTCTGGCTCTGCTCAGTCATGACAAAAACGGTCATCTTCAACTACTTCCCTGACTTCTCTCGACTTTTCCCCTTTAGACAGTCTGTCCATTGACCATTATAAAGAATCAACTCAAATATTTATCATATTTCAAATATAGCAGTCACCATCTTATCCTCAGGCTGTGTTCTAAGTCTTTTTTGGGGGAAGCCTGAAACCATAGTATAGAACTATAGAACCTGACTGCTGTCAGTCACAACATATTTGCTCATCTTCTACCATAAATGTAATACATTTTCTTTCTTACCTAAGCACTTATCACACACTGTGGCTGTAGGTTTTGCAGTTTGAGGTGTGACAGCAAAATTACCACAAATGTGTTTTTCCTCCTACACAATTTCAAAGAAGATTCATTCTTACTGTAGATCTTGGCAATCTCAGCATATCTTTTTTTCTTGCCAGAACCTCCAGTTAAGAACTTATTAGAATGTGTCTCTGATAATGGTTTGGCTGTTTCCCCACCCAAATATCATCTTGAATTGTAGCTCCTATAATCCCCATGTGTAGTGGGAGGGGCCTGGTGGGAGTTAATTGAATCCTGGGGGTGGGTTTTTCCCATGCTGTTCTCATGATGAATAAGTCTCACGAGATCTGATGGTTTTACAAAGGGTGGTTCCCCTGCACATGAGTCTTGCCTGCTGCCATGTAAGACATGCCTTTGCTTCTCCTTCACCTTCCACCATTGGCTGTGAGGCCTCCCCAGCCATGTGGAACTGAGCCCACTTAACCTCTTCATAAATTACCCAGTCTTGGGTGTTTTATAGCAGTGTGAAAATGAATTAATAGTCTGTTTTTCAGAGACATGAGCAGAGGGCCAATATCTTTAGAAATATAGAACACTTAAAAATTAAGTCTTATAGGAGCTAGCAAGGTTTTGCCAAATACAGATTCACCCAAAAATGTCAAGTGGCACTTTGGAATGGAGTGAGAGTGGGCAGGCAGAATTATCTGAAATTAAAACAGAATCTAAACTCCAAACTGTGGGAGTCAGTCTTGGCTTGTAGCAACCAAGTCTATACCTACTGATGATATAAAAGGATTACTTCCTGAAGAGAGTTAAAGGGAAGGAAAAGAGAAAAAAGGTGAATAAGAAACATGGAAGATTAAGACACCACAAAATACCTCTTGTAAAAAGTCTAAATCATATAACTAAGTTCAACACTAGACAAAGTATTGTGACACATGAACAGGAGTTAGAAACTAATACCAATCAATACACTGTTCACAGGTCTGTTATTTTTTCCTTAGGTTGGGCTTGTATTAACAATTTTCCCAACTGATACAGCAGCACTTCTCAAATGCTTTCATGACATAACTATAAAAATTAGTGATATGGCACCTTGAGGAAAACTGATGTGGCTGTTGACAGCAAAATCAACTCCCCTGTGGCTGTAGCCAAATCGGGCACTGAAGACCAATCCAGGGTTGAGAGGATCAATATTGGTTGTAACCCATTTGTGGCTCTGGAGAAAGACACATCACACCAGAGGGAAGTGTATCCAATCAATCCAATAGTTGGAGAACTTTATTTATGGATGACATATAAAATATTCTTCAGGAATTATTGAATCACATTCTAAAGGCTGAAAAAGGTATAGGGTTTTCTGATTACCTGCAACAGAGGGTATAAAATATGTGTCCAATGGATTTGTGATGACTAGAAATCATAAGTAATGTGCCCATTAGCTGACTTAATGCATGAAAAGCATTCAATGATGATTGGGAAGCAAAAATTTAGTAATAAGACCACCTTCTTTTCCCCATTAGTAAAATAAATGTTAGGAAGTTCAATTTTCCTAATGTTTAAATATCTTAATGTGCTCTGGTGAAAACTTTAGAAAATGCATAACTTGTATTACCCTCACTTTTTTCTTCTCTACCAATTGCATTATTTCCATCATTTTTCTTATGTCTCCTTTATTCGTACTGAATTCAATATTCTGTAGTACACGTAAGACAAATAATTCTGAAAAACACTTAACCTAAGTGACAAATGCCACTTTTGTGAAAATAGAAGATAGGAGAAAGTAGAAGGAAAATCTCTTGGGACCCAAACTCACTAAGCCAAAGGGAAAAGTCAAGCTTGGGAACTCTGTCATGCAAAACTATATTCCATATCTGTACCTGACTGTATGGCTACAGATTCCATACTGTTCCTGAATGGACAGCTACACAGGTAGGCTACATACCTCCCCAAGGGACCTCCCTCACAATCTGCTAGCAAGGAAATTCCTGGCTGGCCCAAAGATCTTTCCCTGAAAACCATTCTGTTGAATGTCATGCTGACAATGTAAATGAATGGCTTATCTTGACAGGCAGTAGACAGGCCTGGGAGTCATCCCTCCACTCCCCTGAAACAAATGCATATTTGACTGCTTCCTCTATTGTGCACCTTATCTTATATACAATCCAGATTCACTGAGCAGGAGATGAACGCCCAGTTGAGTGTTCCTCTAAACCCTCTCCTGTCACATCTAAAGTGCGAATTCAGTCAACACTGATTAAAGCCTGGAAAGAAGGAAACTACTTCATTTATTCACACTTCCTTTTTCTTTTTTCCTCTAATGCCCACTGTTTCCCTTTTAAATATTGAAGTCTCCCAACCGTCTTTGGAAGAAGCACAAATCTCAGATGCTCCTGTCATCTTGTGTTCCTTTTTCCCAGGTGCATCCTCAACCTTGGCACCAGAAACATCTACATTGATTGAGACTTGGCTCCAATGCTTTTTGATTCACACTTATTTATAACTTTAAAGATTTCTCCCCAAACAAAAGAGGCTAGTGACTTTTGAGAAAGAGCTTTTTTAGTTTGTCATAGCCTCTATTTCTAAAGAAATTTAAAATCTAATTTTCAATTTAGAGCGAGGCTCTTATCCCCACATCACTGCCTTTAAAATCTCTCTGGAGAGATGCCAAGATTCAGTAAGACATTTTCATGATGAAATACCAAGAAACGATTCCAGTCCTTCACTTGGGAAAACAATGCACCCTCTGCAAGAAAGGACAGGCTGCTTCTAAAGTTCATGGTAAACCCAGTCAACTTGGATTAATTGCTAACCCAGGAATTCTTCCTGGGGGATGTGGGACTCTTAGTGAAAAGACTTTTTGACCTAGCCTCACCCCTACACAATGTATTTAAGAAGTCTGACATTCCACTACTGCTTTAGAAAGACTTGGACCCAGCTTCTGAGGTAGGATCCTTAGATCTTCATGAAAAACAGAACATCACCCAGATACTGGGATGTTTTCTTCAGGTATTACTCTGTAACTATTAGAAGGCCACGTTACTACTGTGAGCTTATCTGCTAATAACTGAGGCAGTGGTCTTCTCAAGATTAAGCATAAATAACATATATTCACTATCTGGCAAGCAGACAACTGGAAAAGGGCATTTAGTATGAAACGTGGGAAGCTAAGGGAAATCTAATAGTTCAGAAGAACATGAATAGATTTACTGAAGGAAAATGGCATGTAAGAGCCGACAGTTGGAAGAATGTGCTTGGTATTCACAATGAGAAAGTTTCAGACTTAATTGGTAGCAGGGGTGCATACTATTGGATAAGCATAGATTGCCCTCTGAATATCTTGTTAAAATTTTAATTTACATTTTAAGTTAAATGATTGTTCCGTTCATATGCATTTAGGTGTGGCTGAAGACTTCATGCTTGGAGGGAAATTATGATTTTATTCTTTATTTCATTTTAACCTCCTTCCTCTTTTATTTAACCCATAAGGCATCCACGTGTGCCTTAAGATAATCTTTTTTTTTTTAATAAAACTATTAGAGGTCTCGTAGAAGCCATCTTAGCATGGCATATAAAAGCCTGTTGAGCTGAGTAACTGGAGCCTAGGGGGAGATGTGGACATGTTGGAAGCTCAGACTGTAGGGGTATAATAATGAGTGCATTGTGTTTATAGCTGCAGGTGTCTGCCCCTTGCTTCAGCTCACCTCACCTCACCACTGCTGTTCCTGTGTAATCCTCCATGCCCTCACTCTCCATTTCCTCTTCCATAGCGTTAGTAGGGTGGACTAGATGGGCCAACCTCAGCTCGCCTCACCTCATCTCACCTCACCACTGCTGCTCCTGTGTAATCCTCCATGCCCTCACTCTCCATTTCCTCTTCCACAGCGTTAGCAGGGTGGACTGGATGGGCCATATGCCAGATCCTTTGATTTCTATTTGCCACCACACGAACTGACACTGCTGCCCAGAAGCATTCCCCTGCACATCCACATCACAGCCCTCCTGCTGGCAGCTTGGAATTTAGACCTTTTACTCTCAATGCTCCAGGAAACTAGATGTACTTCTTTCTTTCTAGTCCATTGGTGATATCCTTGACAATGTAGTTTAGGTAAGTTGGCATGTAGCATTAAAACCTGTATTCATCAAACTGAACTAATTTCTGGCATAGTAAGTGTTCAATAAATGTTCACCTACATGCCATTATAGTGCTGATTTTGTTTTGTTTTTTTTTTAAGCCAAGCAAACCTCTTCTATCTTATGCCTAACTTTCCACACTGAAAATTTCCAAATTGTCAGTTGGGATGGGAGGGAAAGTAGACTACTTTTCCACGAATGAAAACAGTTACCATTTAAATAGGCAGATAAAGGGGGGTGGTAACTAAGGCAGTATGTAATTAGAACTGGAGATAAGGTAAGGGAAAAGAGAAATTCACATCATTGGATACTACGTTGCTGTGGAGAGAAGGGGATAAAATCTGATTAATGTAGGAAGCAAGGTCCAAATGCATTCATTCATAAAAGCAGACGGAGTACAGGAGTAGCTTGTGTAGGTAGAAGAAGAAAAGGAGTTCCTGGCCAAAGCCCACTGTGGCTATGAACACTTATGAGTAGCAATTAATATTAATCTTGCTTTCAAGACTAAAACTGCCAGGTGGATCTTTCATAAGTACCTTATTTCAGCATGTAACTTTCTGACTGAAACAACTCCCATTTGCACCTTATTTCTCGACGCTGAGTTCTGGTCTCTCTGCCTTCACTTTCCAGCCGCACTCCACCCCACACACCTCAGCTCTCCACGGGCTCTTCAGCTGTAGTTAGACTGGACTCTCCCCTCTCTCTTCCACCCCTAGTGCCTGCTAATTCCCATTTTCGAGCCTTTTGACATTATTTACATTGTCTCTGATCATGTCCTCTCTCCTTCAGTCTCGAGTTTCGGAATCAGACCGGTTTCCCTCTCTACTATTGCACTGTTTAACTGAACTGACTCCTGTCTTCTCCTGGTTCTTGTGATCCACTATTTTCAAAGCAGTGATCACTTAGATGCTCTTCAAAAGTTTCATGCTTTAAGATCCTTTCAGTCTCTAGCCCTAGGGTTGAACCTTTGAGGTAAAGAATTCTGACATGGTATTCCTCTCTTTAACACTTTCATTTCCATAGTTTTAGTTAACCTGCAATCCGCCAGGTTGCTATCTACCATGTGTAAAAAATATTAAATGAAAAATCTCAAATTTTAAATTGCCCACCATTTTGAGTAGTGTGGTGGAAATATCATCCCTCTGTGTAGTTGATTCACACTGTCTATGCTACCCCGAGTCATTCAGTAGCTGTCTAGGTTATCAAATCGACTGTGGCGGACTCAGTGCTTGTGTTCAAGTAACTCAGTTTTTCTTAATGGCCCCAAAGAGATGGAGTTAGTGAAGCTGGCGATTTAGATGTGCCAAAGAGAGGCTGTAAGGTGCTTGCTTTAACTAAAAAGGTGAAAGTTCTTGACTTAAGGAGAGAGAAACCCTCATAAGCTGACTTTGCCAAGATCTATATTAAGAAAAACTTTATCTTTGAAATCATGAAGGAAAAAATTATGCAAGTTTTGCTGTCACATCAAACTGAAAAAGTTATAGCCACAGTATATTGTCTTAGGTATTCTATTTTATTATTGTTAATCTCTTACTGTGCCTAACTTATAAATTCAACTTGATCATAGGTATGTATGCATGGGATAAAATATGGTATATATATAGGGCTCAGTACTGTCTGCAGTTCCAGATATCCAGTGGGGGTCTTGAAAACTGTCTCCCACTGATAAGGGGAAACTGTACCTTTGTCCACTACTCAAACTGATGCATAGCATCTTCTGGTTTGCTATGACTTCATGTATGTAAAACTTCTAAAGTACCTGGCACACGTAAAGCCCTATTGGTTTATGGTTTGGGGAATACCAAACTTCCTGTTTCTCTTCCTCCGTCTCTTAGTGCCTTCCACACCATTATCTTCTCTCATAAGCTTTAATCAAAGCAGAAAGATCCCAATATACTATCCTTGGCCCCCTTTTTCTCATTCAGGAACAAATAATCGATGACTCTTAGAGCTATGTGGCACTTAGGATTAGTAACATGTTGGTGACATGCCATTCTTTTACTGAAAGAACACTGAGGTCTGGAGAAGTAACTATGCGTGTCATCCCCAGAGCAATTTGACAGCTGAGCAAAGCACAATGGCATTAGCTGTTATTTGTGGCTAAACACCTTTAAAAAGTCCCCAATATATTTTCATTTTTAGAAATCCCCACTTTAGACTTAAAATGATCTGCTTCTATGAGGATTTTTGATATGATACATTAATCAAACTTAACTATGTGCCCCTTAAGAATATTGTCAGTTCTATCAATCTTCATAGCTCACCCAGTGCTAGGTGAGTGTTTTGAACACGGAATGTGTTTGTGCTTCAGGCATTCTGTCTCTAAGGATGGAATGGAAAACCCTTCCCTTTCAAGCTTTACAGGTACGTTGTGTCAAGTGGAGAAGATCAGTTCTGGTTAGCAGCTTTATTGCCACAGAAAGGACACTGGCAGATACTTCTCATAGCTCTAGTCATGCTGAATTCCCAGAAAGGGGTGTCAGAATGAATTGCTCTAAGCTCTTCTCCCTGGTAGAAGAACCTGTGACTTCTCTTGGAGATCTCTTCAATTTTCGGTGAGTCACCAATTGTTCTTGATTTCTATGGCTTCTCCCAGAACAACTCCAGGGCTGTTGTCCTGAAACATACAGCTTTGATCACCTGGCACCCTGCAGAGATTCTCCTTTCCCTCTTCTCCATGTGGCAGACCACAGGTAGAATAAATGCCTCTTGGCGAGCTCACTCATCCCTCATCCATCAGCCCCAAGTGTGCAGATAACAGATGTGGAGCTCCTGTGCTTGGTGTCCTCCACCTCTCGGCTTGATCTTCCCACCCTCCCATTCCTGCCAGATGATTATGTTGCAACACTGGGTGATGTTATAACTGGTCCTGGGGGTCAGGGGTTCTGGGTTATGTTCTAATCTGCACTGGGGAGAAATCATTCGCCGCCTTGAAGAGCCTGAAGCTTTGATCACGCAAATAAAAGCTTTTTCTTTTTCTTTTTCTTTTTTTTTTTTTTTTTTTGGAAAGACTAGTTGATGAAGGGGAACCTAAGTGTCTTAGAGTGGAGAATGATGATAGTGAGGGAAAGATGAGCTGATGGGGAATGGAATCTAGGATCTTGTATGTGTGAATAAGTCAAACCACACGTCGTAATGCTAAATAGCATCAACTCTAATGTTAAAATGTAGATGCTCGGAACCGATGTAAACAGAAGTAACTGATGACATGTTTTGTCCATAATGCAGATATTTTCCCTGTCTACTTGCAATGCCCAGTAGCCTATGGAATAACATTAGGCATGCATTTGAACATGTCACATTTGGTTCTAAATATTGGCTTCATTGAAATGGGTGAATTGCTCGTTTGTGCCAAGCAGTGTAGTTCTGCTCTTTAGCAGGGCCTTTTCCCTACACATATCCCCACCCACTCACAGATGCACACACCACACATACCATGCTCACACACTCACATATGAACACACTACACACACATGTACGCACAACGCTCACACTCACAAGGAACCTTTTTTTTTTTTTTTTTAACACGGTCTCGGTTGTATAAAAATGAGGTGGCTAAAATCATATCTTTCTCCTGTTTCAGCTTTTTTACTCTCCTCTTCTGGGATCCTACAGTAAGATAAGATCTAGGGGTTGAAAACGTTCTTATCCTTTTATCATAGACATTTGAGGCAATAGTGTTTTACCTCCTCTTTGAATACCTTGTGGAGTCTGATTATTTACATGAAACAAAATGCTCTGGTTCATGTTCTGATTCAAAAGTAATTGGTTATTTTCTTAGGTCATTTTCATTTGTCTCATTCTTGCCTATTTCAGTTCCTCAAAGTATATTTTTAAAAGGATGATTGTCAGCTAACCTAACACTATAGTAATTAATGTATAATATCCATAATGCATTTAACTGAAACAATAGATGTGGGTCAAGACAAACTTACTGTCTGCGAGATTAATATTTTTAATTTCCAACAAGCTATTGCAAAAGCCACTGCAAATGGAATTGTATATTTAAATAGTCTCTTGACCCATGATTCGAAGCTGTGGCTATCACAAGAAAATCTTTCACCTGTTAGAGAAGGCAAAAGTAGCTGACTTTTATCACGCTTGACAGGAGTTAATATTTGATGCTCATGTATTTTTTTCTCCTCAACCAAGGTGTGACAAACTGAAGTTTCAGCACAGACCAACACAAAAATTGCTTTTTTTTCTTTCTCCCTTTGGATGTTTATTCATCTTTTAGGCCTATTACTCATATCTCCATCTCTGAGCACTAAGAAGGAAAACTCTACTGTTGCTATTGTTTTTGCTTCAACATAAGGAGAGTTTATTCCTTGATGCTTCAGGGACTGTAAATTTTGACTATTCTAGAACCAAAAGATTCAGATACATTTGTAGTATTGGTGGCCAAAACGTTTGACAGAAAACAAGTTTCTTCAGTAATCCTGTCACTAAAATGAGAAGAAATACACCATAATCTAATAAAGAAAAATTCATCCCTCAGTATTCCTGAACATATAAAAGGGACACACATTCATATTACTCAAAAAAGCATGAGAATTCATTCCATTGATTCAAGGAATGTTTGATACTGCTGTGTCGCGTCTGAGTTCAGAAATTTCTTTACCATCTATAGTTTTTGTTTTCTTGTTTTGTTTTTTGAGACAAAGTCTTACTCTTGTCCCCCAGGCTGGAGTGCAATGGCACGATCTCAGCTCACTGCAACCTCCGCCTCTCAAGTTCAAGCGATTCTCCTTCCTCAGCCTCCTGAGTAGCTGGGATTGTACAGGCACCTGCCACCATGCCCGATTAATCTTTGTATTTTTAGTAGAGATGAGGTTTCACCATGTTGGCCAGGCTGGTCTCAAAGTCCTGACCTCAAGTGATCTGCCTGCCTCGGCCACCCAAAGTGCTAGGATCACGGGTGGGAGCCACTGCACCCGACTGTAGTTATTTTTACTTATAAACATGAAGGATCAGTAAAATGGTAGAGAAATAAACTTGAGGAAAAAACCCAAGTAGCAGTGGATTACTAGGATGATATAATATTAGGACAGGTTCAGGATGCCACTCTGTCAGAGAAACTCTAACATTTTGGCTAAACAATATTTTAAGATGAGGTCATGATTGAATTCTATGATGCAGCATCTAAATTTTAGCAGAATTCATTGTCAACTGGAAAGACCACCAGGATAACGAAACTAAAGCCCTGTTCTGAAGCAGTTTGTGGTGGTTGTCCTGCCAGATTTATGATCCCCAAATTATTCTGTGAGAACAAATAGACACAAGTTCTCACAGCAGTCCATGCCTAAAAGATGAACTCCTTTTGCAGGACAAAAGTCTAACCACAAGACAGTGTGGCTCCTGACCCCAAATGAGGTCATCTGTACTGCTTTGATGTTCCTGACTTTCATAAAGCTGTTCAGTAACAACAGCAGCCAAAAAAGTCAGTTATCTAGATGTTTTCTATCAATTTAAGTCACAAATAGACGTCTGTGGATGACTCTAGTACAATCATCTCGATGGAGATGCAGAGAGCAATTTAAATTCAAATCATTTCGCTAGGCGAAATGGGAAATAAGGCACAGTAACCACCCTCAGAAAACTTTCAATCTAAAAGTGATAAGATTATGAAATGTATTCAGAAGATAGTTCAAAGTAAAAATCAGATTCTAAACCAGGTACTGTATGAATTACATTTACATCTCACATCCAGCCTGTAGAGTACAGAACTATGATGACCTTTCACAGATGATGAAATTGAGTTGAGAGATTAATTTTCTGTCCAATATCATACAGATCATTAATACTGAAACCCAGGATTTCAAATGATCCTGAAGTAGGTGATCTTTTCTTGATCTCACGCTGCTTCTGACATACTATTCCTGGTGGGCTCTTCCTACATATCAGGTCGTTAAATAAGCTGCCAGATTTCTGCCTTTACAGCCCAAGGAGCTTGTCATGGACCATGGGCATGGAGGGTCTTCTCCAGAACTCCACTAACTTCGTCCTCACAGGCCTCATCACCCATCCTGCCTTCCCCGGGCTTCTCTTTGCAGTAGTCTTCTCCATCTTTGTGGTGGCTATAACAGCCAACTTGGTCATGATTCTGCTCATCCACATGGACTCCCGCCTCCACACACCCATGTACTTCTTGCTCAGCCAGCTCTCCATCATGGATACCATCTACATCTGTATCACTGTCCCCAAGATGCTCCAGGACCTCCTGTCCAAGGACAAGACCATTTCCTTCCTGGGCTGTGCAGTTCAAATCTTCTACCTGACCCTGATTGGAGGGGAATTCTTCCTGCTGGGTCTCATGGCCTATGACCGCTATGTGGCTGTGTGCAACCCTCTACGGTACCCTCTCCTCATGAACCGCAGGGTTTGCTTATTCATGGTGGTCGGCTCCTGGGTTGGTGGTTCCTTGGATGGGTTCATGCTGACTCCTGTCACTATGAGTTTCCCCTTCTGTAGATCCCGAGAGATCAATCACTTTTTCTGTGAGATCCCAGCCGTGCTGAAGTTGTCTTGCACAGACACGTCACTCTATGAGACCCTGATGTATGCCTGCTGCGTGCTGATGCTGCTTATCCCTCTATCTGTCATCTCTGTGTCCTACACGCACATCCTCCTGACTGTCCACAGGATGAACTCTGCTGAGGGCCGGCGCAAAGCCTTTGCTACGTGTTCCTCCCACATTATGGTGGTGAGCGTTTTCTACGGGGCAGCCTTCTACACCAACGTGCTGCCCCACTCCTACCACACTCCAGAGAAAGATAAAGTGGTGTCTGCCTTCTACACCATCCTCACCCCCATGCTCAACCCACTCATCTACAGCTTGAGGAATAAAGATGTGGCTGCAGCTCTGAGGAAAGTACTAGGGAGATGTGGTTCCTCCCAGAGCATCAGGGTGGCGACTGTGATCAGGAAGGGCTAGCAGGGACTCCCAGAGTATCAGAGTGGTGACTGTGATCGGGAAGGATTAGCGGGGACTCCCAGAGCATCAGGGGTGGTGACTGATCAGGAAGGACTAGCAGGGACTAGTGCAAACATCTGCGGTGCTGCGGCCAATAACGCAGCTATTACAGAAAATATGGTATTGGTTCTGAAGAATGTTCAGTGTCACTTTCAGCAATTCAAAATTAACAGGCAAAATCATCCTGTTGCAAGGATTACTTAGGAACAGTAGCGAAGTTGGTGAGCATCTCCGCATTAGTCAACTTTGTTCAACTGGATTCACAAACATTTCCAGAGGGCATTCTCAGTCAAGTAGCCCTACAAACCATTCATGGCACGCCAAGCAGCTCTTGGAAGTGCCCATGTTAACATGTGACCATGAGTCCTTCCTGTCTGTATTGCTAACGTGTGATCATGAGTCCTGCCTGCCTGTATTGCTGACGTGTGATCATGAGTCCTGCCTGTCTGTATTGCTAACGTGTGATGAGTCCTTCTGTGTCTGTATTGCTAACGTGTGATCGTGAGTCCTTCCTGTCTATATTGCTAATGTGTGACCATGAGTCCTGCCTGTCTGTATTGCTAACGTGTGACCATGAGTCCTGCCTGTCTGTATTGCTAACGTGTGATCATGGGTCCTGCCTGTCTGTATTGCTAACGTGTGATCATGGGTCCTGCCTGTCTGTATTGCTAACACGTGATTGAGTCCTGCCTGTCTCTATTGTTAACCTGTGATCATGAGTCCTGCCTGTCTGTCTGTATTGCTGACCAACTTTTGAATGGAAATTGGAAGGAGCATTTGCCACCTCCTTGATGACTTAATTTCAAACATTCAATACAAGTAAAATATTTTCTAGTGCTAAATGTGTAGCAATTTTATTAGAAAACATTTAGGAAGGTGATACTATTTTTGGTTCCATGTTCTTAGTTACATTTTATGAATGTTATCACTTACCTCTGAAATTAAATACTTGCCCTGCCTTTATTCACATGGAGTCCAATATATTCCTGGAAATATTGATTCATTGATTGAAAATTGACTCTGCCATTAAGATTGTTACATGGCCAAAAACCTACAAAACTGCCATTTATGCTCAAATTGTTAATAGATAAATGTAGAATGAATAAACCAAGACATTTTATTAGCTAACTTAGTTCCCGTGGAATAAGTTGCTCAATTTTCTTATTCTCAACATCTTCATTGATATGCTGAAGACAAGTATTTTTGTAATTAGTTGGAGTTAGGTGTGGTGCTTTGATAGATGTGTAACTTTGGTGGAATATTAACTAAGCAAAGACTACACTGACCCCACGATTCATGTAACTTTAGTTTCTCCTGTGTGTAAGGTCCTGAAATATGAGACATAAAAAATATTGACGGACCTGGTGTTTATTTTCTTTGTTGATACGAGGCTTAGAAAACATTGGACAGAGCGGTTACATAGTTGACAAAGACTAAGCAAAGGTTACTCAGCCTTATGTTGTTCTAGTGTCAACACAGATAGAAGGAAAAATGTTTCCTCCATTGTTGCTGACGTAGATAAAGAATATTCCCTTCAATATGCTAACCCCTAGGTGGCTTTTCATTCAGAAGGTTCCTAATAATTTGATCTTTACCCTGAAATCAAACACATGGAAAAGAGATGGAAGAATGTCCTGGAGGGATTAAGTGAAGAAACAGACCAGGATTCATTTATGAAATATCCTCGGTGTTATTTCAATTCAGCTCCATTCACATTTTATTCTTTTGTGTCTCTGCACTAATGCCCTCCATATTCTCCATTCTCCTGCCTTAGCTAGCACCTTCTCGATCTTCCCTCTACAAAACTCCTTCAGTTCACATTGCATTTGTGCTCTATCCTGGGATATGTGTTTTCTTTCCCATTTCCTCAGTTGCTATGTATTAAAAATTAGGACTTTTATTCTTATGTTTCCAAGATTAATTCTTTGCATATTTAACTAGAATATTTAACTCTAACATTGACAGACATTTCAAGAGTATACCTGAAGCAATAAGCGAAATGCATTTTGACAAGTTTCTAGGGATATCATGGACATTAGTGATCGGGGCATGGAAGGAGGTGACTTATTCAATGTTTGAGTCTATTCAACAAATTTCATGGTGGTTACATCAACGTGTTCTTTTCCTGGTGATTTATCAATCTTTCCACTGTTGATGTGTGTGCTTTTCTGTTAGGCTCTACTTTAATACAACTTAAAAAAAAATTTTAATCTCATTTTACACATGGTGTGTATCCACTCCCTTCACACATAAAACTAGTCCCACTGTAAAAGGGAGTGACCAAGGATTTTTCCCCAGTCATCTCACCAAATTCTTACATAAGGTAATTTGTGGTCACCAGATTTGCTTCTTTATTAAAATAATATATAAATTTTAATATTGAGTAATACACATCATATTTAAGTTACTAAATTATCAGTTGTATACCTGAAACATGGCATGCACTAATCCAGGTAATGAGGAAAAAATAGAAGACTGTCCCTAGTTTTGAAAACATTTAACTACATTACCTGATTTTGATTCTGATCTTCACAAATTCTTATAAAGTATTTAGAGAAAGAATTAGCCCCATGGGAGATGAAGAAGCTGATGTTCACAGCAAATTATTGCCCCATTCCAGCAAGAGGCAGATGGGGCTTCAGAACCACGTCTTCTAACCTCTGGTCTGGTGTTTTGTGCCAAGCCATGATACTGATAAACAATTTACAAATGAGAGAAGTGGCTGGGCATGGTGGCTCACGCCTGTAATCTCAGCACTTTGGGAGGCCGAGGCAGTTGGATCACTTGAGGCCAGGAGTTCGAGACCAGCCTGGCCAACATGGCGAAACCCTGTCTCTACTAAAAATACAAAAAATTAACTGGGCGTGGTGGCACATGCCTGTAATCCCAGCTACTTGGTAGGTGAGGCAGGAGAATCGCTTGAACTCAGAGTGGAGGTTACAGTGAGTCAAGATTGTGCCACTGCACTCCAGCCTTGGCAACAGAGCAAGACTGTCTCAAAAACAAAACAAAGGGGAGAAGCACATGGCACAATGTGTATCTGCCAGCTTGTTAACCCTAATAATGACCTGGGGACAAAGGTCCCTTCAGAGCAACATGCTGATAAAAGCCATGTTCATTTGCTGTTGGATGCTAGTTAGGCTGGTCTAGCCAAGGACCTGATGACCCACATTGAGGGGTAATCAGATTCCCTGTGGGGTCTTTCTGCAGGTAAGGGATATGGATATAAAATTAACTTGCTTCTACAGACTTGTTTTATACAATAAACATCTATATGCAATATAAAATTGTAATAGAAGAAAGCATAAAGTCTACTTATTACATACCTTATTAACTGCTTTATTCAATGCTCAGGAAGATATCAGGCAAAAAGGAATGATCAGAGAAACTGAAGATAATTAGATAATTATTTAGCATAAAGGAAAAACGCAGACCTCTGTATCCACAAAAATTAAAAATCTGAAAAAGTGACAGAACATCCCTGTCAAGTTGGACAACTGACTTTAAATGAAGTGAAGTTCTGCTAAGAATTCTGACAATTCTGTGAAAACAAAATGACTGAAACGTCAGGTCCTGACTCTACAAAGAAGTTCCATACATAAAGCAATTGTATTCATAGACAACTTTATGGCATCGATAGGTTATTTAGTTAAAACAACAGGCTGATTCACACACAAATGATAAAAACCAGATGCATTTTTAAGCTTCTTTTTCAGCTGGGATTGTACTGAGGATGGATTTCTTAAACCTGGGTGACTCCCGTGACCATGTCACACACTTAGCAGCATTTCACTGTGTGCTTCCTTCTAAATCCCAGGTAATAAAGGCCAGGAAAATACTTGGTTTGCTTTGACTACATTCCTTTGGTTTATACAACTAGCTAAGAATATAAAATGGTAAATAAATACCTGTAGCTTCAACTCTGGTTGTTTCACATTGTATTTTTTATGAGCACTTTAAGCTTATTTGGTTTTGTTAAATCATCACATACCTAAAAACAAGAATTGTTAGGCATCGCAAGCACTTAAAACTTTTCCTAACATAGAATTTGCCCTTAATAAATACTAGTGTAATAAACGAATGAAAACTTTCACTTTAGAAGGCTTAGTACCTTCTAAAAATCTTTAAAAGAAAGTTTCCTTGGCATCTCGGGTTTGAAGAGACGACGTGGAAACTGAAGATTAACAAAGTTAGACTTTTATAGGCTCACATAGAACTGCATGTCAAGGGTGATGCTAGAAGCAAAAAAAAAAACACCAAAAAACTACTTAAATTATTTCCAGCTTCACTGATAAGTGATTTCTATTAACTATTTTAAAATTGGAGCTTATGTGAAAAAGTCATTGGCTTTTGCTAGATTCTTCATATAGTCCTTCTTTGAAGCAAACAGGAGGTAAGTCCCATTAGGGGCATTTCTCAAGGGTGGAAGCAGAAAACTCTTTCATGACTGAAAATTTAAATGCAAAGTTTAGGATTACATATGTCAGTTGATGTTGTCAAAATTGTTCTTTCCCTGGATTTCCAAAGTGTTTAATTGAAATGACCAGTGATGTTAATGAAGTATTCTATAAACTTGGAAAAATTAAAATCAGAAAACATGTTTGAACATAGTTAAAACCATATCTTTGGGCCTCAGCTTCTGAATAGCTGAAGTTTTAATGAAGAGAACTGCTTTTCTGTCTCCCTGTATAAACTGGGGAAACTACTTGAAAGGGAGAAAGGATAATATAATTTTGGCCCAAGGCAGGGATGCTTGCAAATAATGGCTTTGTGTAATTTGAAAGATTGTAAAAATCTTTACCTTTTTTGATTATTTCTAAGAACAAGATTATAATACATGCTGTGTATGTATTAAGGGATTTCATTTCAAAGATAGAGAATACAGTTGTAAGGAGATGATTATATAGGTTGAAAATATGCCACCTTTTCACTTAAGAATACAATGAACCTGCTATAGGATGAAGATGAACATAGATCACCTCACATTCCAGTGGTCACTTAGAATTCTATTATGTACTAAAACCTAAATTATTTAGTACATGTCCAGTTAGCAGACGCTTAGGTTACTTCCACTTTCTTATTGCAAATAACACCGGAATGGACTTTTTTAATAAATTGCCCACTCATCTGATTATTTCCATACTACACTTCCCTAGGAGCGGAAGCTTGTACGTATTTTTTAAACTCCTGGCATTGACTCAGTGCACGCTCTCAAACCAGAAAACAAGACAGAAAACCCATTGTAATTCCCACCAGCAGTTTGAGATTCCCCCCTTTATCCTCGATGTTGATACAACCCAGCTCTCATGTAGAAGTTCAAGTTGAATAAGATTGACTGAAACTCTATTTCTGCACTGTGGCCCTTCTACATTGCTATCCTATTAAGGAAGCTTCGTGGGATCATGCTCTAGGTAAGAATAAACTTAAGTTCAAGCCCTCTGCCTCTGGCAATCCAAGGCCCAGCTGAGTAGATGTGCATGTCATTGCATTTCATCGCCTTGCAAGAGTAAGAAGAATGTGACCCTAACTGTGCAGTGATAGACATGTATTAAGAGGGAGGGATGAGTTGTTTTCATGACTCCACCTAAGAGAGGCCTGAAAAGACCGCTTGATTGGCAAGAGGCCAAAAACAGCGTTAATTTTCCAAAGATGTTTAGTTCAATAACGAAGTCTAGATAATCTGATCTGGCTCAAGTTGTGAATAATCATTTCAGAAATGGTCCCTCAACTGTCCCCAATCCACAGCAGGGAGACTCTCCTGTAACTTAGTTCCCCCAAACCCCCAACTTTAGGGAACTTCTAAGAAAGTGATCTAGTGTGTTACAACAAAAGTAAACATCACCATAAGAATATAAAGTCTGACTACACAGTTGGCCCTTCAAATTATCTTTTAAAAAAATCTGTCCATTAGAGGTCTTCAGTACCTAGGAAAATATAGGATACGAGGACAATTATGTTGAAAAAAATTATCATAATTTAACTCATTGTTTCATAAATCATTGATAGGATCACTAGTACCATTTCAATTGATTCCACAAGGATTTAAACTCAGTTCACACTTCTGTAATTTTTCTTTTGAAATGAATTTGTTTTTCATGTAATTTTAAGATTCTTCAAGGGTCATTCTGTTTTTCTTTTTCTTAGGGTACATGTGATAACACATTCATATGATTTGTAAAGATCAATGTAATTGAGATATCCATTACCTTAAATATATATTTGTATTTTCTTTATGCTAGAAACATTGGAATTTTCTCCTTAAGTGAACTCTGCCACATTACAGAGATCTTCAAATCTCAGATCCCCAACAGGGAATAGTACGTACAGGGCTTCATGTTGACAGCGGTGATGCTGTGCAGGAAACATGCCTATTGAATGGGGCTTTATGATGTCTGCTGGGAGATGAGTCATTGCCCTCTGCAATTGCACAACAGTGACGTGTGTGAGTGGCATTTGTAAGACCTTTCTTGGGGTACATTTGATGAGATTTTTTTTATGTACCTCAGTATAAAGCCAGACACCTGCAGGCAGGTGTGTAATGACTGAGAATTGCCCAAGAGTTAGGGAGAATTTTGTGTTTCTGGAAAATTATTAACTTCATGTTGTCACTTTATTGCTTTGTTGACAACTTGTGATCAGAAATTCAACTTTTCCTTGGGTGTGTTTATGGCCTTTTACCCTGCATTCATTTAACTTCTCTTTGGCTGGTTGTAAACGGAAGTGATGCTCAAAGGGATATTATCTTTGGGGAGAAGTTAAGGGTAGTGGCAGAGAGCATGAAAAACAAAAGTTGAGTCCTTGAGCCTGGATCCAGCTCCTCCCACCTGACTCTGAGCCTCAGTTTTACCAGCTGTGAGATGGTGATAATTAGTGATCGACCCGTCGAGGTGCTGTGAAGAGCACGTGGAAACGTTGGCACACGTCCACGGTGCCTGAGACCCAGCAAGAAGCACTACACAAGTGCTGGCCAATTCATTATTGCAACATGTCTCAGTTTTGTTTAAAAGCTAAGTAAGAAAATCATTTATCAGCATAGAAGCTCCCTATGGCTGTGGTACCAAATGACCACAAAGTTCATAATATCACAGCCTGGAGGTCAGAAGTTGGAAACCGGTCTCACTGGACTGAAATCACGATGTTGGGAAGGCTACCTACTTTTCTATGAGGTTTTAGGAGATAATCTATTTCTTAGCCCTCTCCAGTTTCTAGAGACCATCTACATTCCTTGGCTTGGGGTCCCCTCTATCGTCAAACCCGGAGACCGACTGAGTCCCTCCGACCTGTTTTCATATCACGTCTCTGACTCTCCTTCCTCCTCTCTCCCATGTAAGGCCTTGGCATTTGCAATTGAGTCCAACAGCATAATTCAGAAGAATCTCCTCATCTCAGAGTTCTTAATCATACCCACAAAGTCTTTTTTGCCACTTAAGAGAGCATATTCATCGGTTCCAGACATTAGCACATGAGGACCTTTGCTGGAGGTGGAAGATGATTCTGCCCACATGTGGTTATATTTAACACTAAGTCTATTACAGTGTCGTTCAATTTAAGTAGCAAATTAATAAGCCCTATGGCATTATTGAAGACAATTCTGATCATAGAAGGCAGATGACATTTTGCAATAAATCATACACAATTTTATCTGTTTAACATAAGGTGAATTCTAACTAGATTAACATCTGCAGTACAATCTCTGGGTGTATAATAACACTTGAAGCTAAAGTTATCTTCAACCTATTAATTGGTACCTGAGTTGAAGAGCTGTCAGAGCAAGGACAGATTCAGAAGACAGAAGAAGTGGCAAGTCCCTCCTTTTTTTGTGAATTATGCTGACATCTTAATTACTCTATAAGTATTTTAAACCAGAGCGTAATTGTCTCAAATTTGTACTGTATATAAACCTTAATGATTTAGAAGTTGTATTGCTGTCTGATCTTAGAAACTTGTTATTTATTTTTCCTAGAATGAAGTTTTTTTTGATCAAATATTGGTGGATCCCATTTTTTTGTCTATTTTGCATTGAAGATAAACACAAGTGCCTAGCATTAAAAAAAATTATTTCTCTTCAGCACATTATATAAAATCAGGAGGTGTTTTGAAGGAATTCTAGAGGTATTCCTTAAAAAGCATAAAATAATTTGCATTTTTGCTAGCTGAATGTGTTTAAAAATGATTTATTCAAAGATTTACAATGTGCCAGTCGTATCTTTAGATGGTGAGAGTACAGTTAACAAAATAGGCACAAATCCTTATTCACATGAAGCTTACTTTCTAGCTTGAAGAGACACAAAACACAAGGTAGTGTCAGACGGTGTTAAGAAAAGTGAAGAAAAATAGTCATAGGACCTCTGAGCAGGTGGCTTTTGAGCAAAGCCCTGAAGTACATGAGGGGATGGATGGCCTTGCACGGTTGGAGGAGGAGCCCCAGGCAAGGGGAGCAGCAGAGGCAATGGCCTGGGCTCAGGGCTCTTGCAAAGTGGGGACAGAGGACAAGGAAGCCACCGTCGCTGCAGCCCAGGGACAGACAGACTGGAGTCGGCGGGAGATCATTTCAGAAGACAAAATGTTCAGAACGTGATGGGCCTTAATGTATGATGTAAAGCACAACTGCAGGGTTTCAAGCAGAAAGTGGCGTGGCGGGATGCACGGGTCCCGATGTGACTTTGATGGTTGTGCTGAGACTAGACTTGGAGGGATTCATGAGACAGCAGGGAGATCGTGGGAAAGTTCGTGGAACAACCAGGGTAAAATGTGTCATGATGGATTAAGCCAGGCACCTACTAGCTATGGACATGAGAAATATTATAGGTTTTTAATTGTTAATAAATAAGTTTTACTTATTCATTTCTTTTTTAGAAACAGGGTCTTGCTCTGTCACCCAGGCTGGAGTGCAGTGGCACAATCATAGCTCTCTGTAACCTCAAACTCCTAGCCTCAAGCAATTCTCCCAACTCGACCTCCTGAGTAGCTGGGACGACTGACGTGCACCACCACGCCTGGCTAGTTTTTTATAAAGACGAGCTCTGTTACCCAGGCTCATCTCAAACTCCTGGCTTCAAGTGATCCTTCCGCCCTGGCCTCCCTAAGTGCTGGGGTTACAGGCATGAACCACCACACCTGGCCTGTTTTTACTGTTTTATACATTTTGGATAAAATGTTTGAATTTGTTTAATATGACAAAGAGATGTGCTCTCTTCTCCTTAGTGTGGGTTAATTCTATTAGGAAGTTTTTGGAGTCTAATATAGAATGTTTCTTTTATATTTTTGGACTTTGAATTAGCAGAATATATTTTTAGGCAATATTTGTGTTCACTATCCTTGGGAAATGGAATAGAATTGAAACGATCAGGAGTGGATCAGGAGGCTAAGACTCACTGAAGTAGAGTTTTGACCACGGAGTATTTCTGGGAGGCCTGACAGAGGAGGCCACAGTCCTTAGCCCCTTTCACAGTAATATGAATATATCAATCAGAGGGAAATTGGGAGTAAGCCAATTTAATTTTGATGTTAGTAAATAACTTTTTTGTTTAGACTCTATTTGTACTGATTCTACTGGTCACTTTTCAAGGTCATAACAATTCTGGTACCTTTGTGAAACCAGATATGACTTCAGCATGGTAAAGGACAACCAGCTAAATTTGAATTTCAGATGTACAGTGAACCCTTTTTTTTGGTGTTAAGAACATTATGAACTTGCACTAAAACATTTTTTGATTATCTGAAAGTCAAACATAGCTGAGAATCCTGTATCTTTGCTAAATCTGGCAACACTAGATAGTGGAGCCAAGGTGTGTCTAGCAACATGTGAATGGGGGGAAACCCTGCAGCATCCGGGCTCCCCCGTTGATCGGACTTTCATTTTTACACAAATGTTTGAGACTCAAGCCACTGAGGCCTACCATGCCGGGGAGGAGGTGCTGGCGGGGAGAGGGGGGCGATTCTTACTACATGTATGGTTCTTTCTCTTGTCTAACAGTTAAATCTATCTTCCACCTGGTATGTTAAAGATAAAATTCCTTCTTAAACGGTGGCCTGTTGCTGTCACATTTCCATGTATCTGCTCCGTAGCTTTCTAAGCCTGAGTTTGGCTCTGGCCTCAGTTCTGGTAAGTGCTGGCAGACGTGTAGCTTGGTGAACCCTGCTCCTGTGTGTCTGCTGCTGACATAGCTTCAACCTACCAACATTTTCCTTTAATTTCCCTGCCCATTTCCCAAACCTACAGTAGCAATGGAGAGCAATGCAGGGAGTCAGCTTAGTGTCATAAACTGCTTTTTAAAAACTTAATTCTGGGAGCTTTTTGCAAATAGTTTTTTTTACCTTCTAATTTATCTGAAGAAAGATCTGCAAAAAGGTTAGCAAAACAGCACAAAGAACAGTGAGGAGTCCCAACTTTAGACATAAACAGTGGAATAATAGGCATCGAAGGCTTGGAAGAGTAGGGGGTGAAAGCGGAGCGAGGGGTGAGAAATTAGTAATGTGAGCACAACCTACGCTATTTGACTTACGGTTACCCTAAAAGACAAGACTCCACTATGCGATACATCCATGTCATGACACTGCACTTGTCGTCCTTAAACTTATACAAATAATTAAAAAGAAATAGAACAGAAACATGGGGCTTCGTGAATAAAACGTTCCCTAATAGTTATCCTAACCCTTCATTTCTTCAGTGATTTACTTCACTCCCCTTTATCCATTTGGTCAATGAATCACCCTTTTTTCCAACTAGTATTTACTTAACCCTACTATGGGCTGGATAACTTTCTGGATACAAGAAATGCAGCATGGACAGAACAGATATGGTTAAAACCCCATTCTTGGTGTAGCATACAGCAATTGTATCACGCAGTTACCATAACCTCCAGCAGCATGATGAACCATAGACGCAATATAGAAGGAGCTGTTCTCTGACAGGGAAATGCAGCCATGGTTTTTGCTTCATGATGTGCATGTTGGTCTGCCTGTTCTTCTCTAGCCTCTAGCCTGGAAGCTTCATCCTGACGGTACCCTCAGAAGTGTCACCTCTACTGCAGACCTTTCCCATCTTGACCGTGTTCTCTTGCCTCCTTCCTGGTCCTTGTGTCTTCCCGTTGCCCTGGGACGCTCGTGGGCCATATCAATGACGAACACATCATCCTCTGACTTCACCCTCCTGGGGCTTCTGGTGAACAGTGAGGCTGCCGGGATTGTATTTACAGTGATCCTTGCTGTTTTCTTGGGGGCCGTGACTGCAAATTTGGTCATGATATTCTTGATTCAGGTGGACTCTCGCCTCCACACCCCCATGTACTTTCTGCTCAGTCAGCTGTCCATCATGGACACCCTTTTCATCTGTACCACTGTCCCAAAACTCCTGGCAGACATGGTTTCTAAAGAGAAGATCATTTCCTTTGTGGCCTGTGGCATCCAGATCTTCCTCTACCTGACCATGATTGGTTCTGAGTTCTTCCTCCTGGGCCTCATGGCCTATGACTGCTACGTGGCTGTCTGTAACCCTCTGAGATACCCAGTCCTGATGAACCGCAAGAAGTGTCTTTTGCTGGCTGCTGGTGCCTGGTTTGGGGGCTCCCTCGATGGCTTTCTGCTCACTCCCATCACCATGAATGTCCCTTACTGTGGCTCCCGAAGTATCAACCATTTTTTCTGTGAGATCCCAGCAGTTCTGAAACTGGCCTGTGCAGACACGTCCTTGTATGAAACTCTGATGTACATCTGCTGTGTCCTCATGTTGCTCATCCCCATCTCTATCATCTCCACTTCCTACTCCCTCATCTTGTTAACCATCCACCGCATGCCCTCTGCTGAAGGTCGCAAAAAGGCCTTCACCACTTGTTCCTCCCACTTGACTGTAGTTAGCATCTTCTATGGGGCTGCCTTCTACACATACGTGCTGCCCCAGTCCTTCCACACCCCCGAGCAGGACAAAGTAGTGTCAGCCTTCTATACCATTGTCACGCCCATGCTTAATCCTCTCATCTACAGCCTCAGAAACAAGGACGTCATAGGGGCATTTAAAAAGGTATTTGCATGTTGCTCATCTGCTCAGAAAGTAGCAACAAGTGATGCTTAGAGAGTCACTGCCCAGAGGATAAGGCTTCCTAAGGACTTCCTCCATTTGCCCTGTTTCCCTGGAGATGATCTGCTCAGCTATCAACCTACACTTACTACTGGCAGTTAAGATGATTCACCCTGTCTGGATTCTTGCTCCTCGGGAGCAAGGGAAAGATGTTTTACTGTTATGCAGAGATCTTTCAGTGAAGTATCAAAAATGGTTTATTATGAAGTTAAATAATTTATCTAGTCTTTTTATTTAGGGAAGAAAAACCCCAAATATTAGAGTTCACAGCAACCTTTCACTCTGAACTAGATCTCCTTCACAACATTTGTTCATGTTTAAACAACACAATGAAAGAAACCTGCAAAAGCTATCAAATGTTTACAGTCAAATTCTGTGATTAGCAGCAATAGAGTAAAAGAATGCCAATACACAAGTGGCAAAGAAGATAAAAGCACACACTTTAGTCGTGTTTTTTATTTTAGTATTAACCCCAAGTAACTATAAGCTCTAATATTATCGTTGAATCTCTGACCCTCTTGAGTACAGACAGCAGCTATCAAATACTAGGCCACAATAAATGGTGGTGAATTGAACAGAACTGAGTATGAATGGGTGGAGGTTCAGCATGACACAGCTACTCACAGGGAATAGACTCTAACACTTAGCATCAAAGAACATGACTGCCACTTTCCTTGAGGATGTATTAACAGGATACCAGGTTCGTTAACATCCATGGCCAGAAACTTCCCTTTTCCAAGTTCTGTGATTCAACAGCAACACTTAAGGCACTTTGAGACTGACTGAGTGGGGTGGGAAGTCCCTGGAGTTTTCCATGCGGGTGTTACATGATAACAGACACGTTTTTAAAGCATCACTATGCCTACAGTGTAGGAAAATAGAACAAAGGGCAAACATGGATACAGGAAGACAATTGAGGTTTCAGAGATGAGAAACAAGGATGGCTTGTGTAGGGTGTGGACACAAAGGATTTGGCTCATGGATTTGGCGTGTGTTAGCAACAGGTGTAGAGTGAAGGATAACTTATTGGTTTGGGCCCAAGTGAATAAAAAAATGGAATATTGATATTTGGAAAACTTGTCGGTAGCAGAAGTCAAGAATTCACTTAAGATAATTTGGAAATATCTATTAGGTATTTAAGCTAGGCCGGGTGCAGTAGCTCATACCTGTACTCCCAGCACTTTAGTGGAGACCAAGGAGGGTGGATTGCTTGAGCTCAGGAGTTTGAGACCAGCCTGCCAACATAGCAAAACCCCATCTACCAAAAACACAAATATCAGTTGGATGTGGTGGCACATGCCTGTAGTCCCAGCTACTTGGGAGGCTGAGGTGGGAGGATCACGGGAGGCTGAGAAGTTGAGGCTGCAGTGAGCCGTGATGGCACCACTGTGCTCCAGCCTGACTGGCAGAGAGGCCTTGTCTCAAGATAAATACATAAATACAGAAAGATATTGAAGCTATATGTAAAGTCAATTGTACTTCAGATTAGAGTTCTGAACATAAAGCATACATTTAATAATCAGAGTACGAAGAGCATTTAAAAACAGGTTTTTTGAGAGTTTTCTTAAGAGAAAGCTTGAGACTGAGATCTGAGGCAGCTGGCGTCACATGAAAAATTAGAAAGATAGGGTTTTATGAGGTTAGAAGAAATCTAAGACAAAGTGTTTAAAGAAAGTAAAAGCAACTGCAACAAGTGCAGTCTATGGTTGAAATAAGTGAGATTTGGTTACTGTATTTAGCAACATGAAAGGTTACTTGTAACCTTAGTGACCATTTTTAATGGAGATATGCTTAGAGATGATTCAGGGTAAAATCAAGGGGGAGGAAGTGGATAAGGTAAGTTGAGTATGAATTTTTAGATTTTTTTGTAAAGGAAATGGAGTATAACTAGAAAAACGTGATACCAATGTGTTTGATGTTAATGGTGCTGTCATGTGATATTGAGTATGAAGTTCAAAGGAATAATTCAGTACAAAAAGAAAATCGATATATGAGAAATGGAGGAAAGTTTCAGAAAGATGGCCTTTGAGAGTGGCCGAAAGCACAGAAACCAGTTTAGAAGTGGAGAGTTTGAACTTTTGTAAGAGCATGGCCAACTCAGTGACAATAGCAGGAGGTCAGGCAGAGCGTGTGTTATAACTAAGATCCCTTCCGATGGTTTGTATCTTCTCGGTGCAGTTAGAATCAATGAGAGCGTCTATGAGTAAAGATCAGGGTGGTCCCGTCAAAAGTTTGAGAGGAGAAGAGAATCATCTTGGAGAAGAGGTAAGTTAATAAGCTAGTAGAGACATCTGGGTTGTAGGACAACCTTCGGACTCCCCCTCCTTTGCATTGAATTTATGAATTTAGCACAGCACATTTGTCAGACGATTCATGATGTGTGTTCGGGATGGTGGCCAGAAAATAGTAGGCACTCAATATGTTAACTAGAATTATGTTAAAAACAAGGACAAAATAACAGCAGCAACTGCTGTTACTACTACAAACTTATTCCTTTGTGAATAAAGTGTGTCATATTTATGCTTTTCCAAGGCATATAATTTGCAGTATGTAATAGATGTTCAGTAGCTGTTTATTTCAATAAATTTGTCTCTTTGGGCAATTAAAAGTTGTATAGGCAGAATTCTTCATGGTGTGGAGTTTCTTGTATAATATGGCATGATTTTGCATTATAAGGTGACACTGTCACTTCATTTCAAAATGTTAATTATTTACGTTTAGAAGTTAAATTCCACCCTACTCCTAAAACATTCTCTCTGTAATCTTGGCTTTGGTGGTGGCTTCTCTGGTGATGGGTTCCCATTTAGCGTGGGAAAATGTCCCTGCTCTGAGTGTCCTAGTTGTAGTTGGCACCAAGAGGAGATGGGCACACAGATTTCACTAAAATACTGTGTGATACCAGCATATATGCCCAGCAACAGATTGTTCAGATGTTGAACAGCTTTTTATAAGGTTTTTTCCCCATGAATATTTAACTGTTCTTTAATTATTTCCACCCCATCTGCCAATTTCAAAGGCAATTTAAGGGTGATAAGGCCATATGCTTGGAGCTTGAACCCCCTGGAGTCTGAATATTAGCCTATTTCTTTCTGGGCTGTGTGCCCTGAGCATGTTACCTAACCTCTCTGTGCCATAGTTTACTATCTTGCTCAGAGTCTATCATAGTTGAAGAATGAGGAAGAGGCTTCTTAGAGCAGATATTTTCTAAGCCTACAACTGTTGCTCCTTCAGGCCATGGGGGCTCTGCCTGAGTGATCTAGCCAAGCCGTCTTCTGTGGGTTCCCTGGGCAAAGCTCTCATCAGGAGTTCCTTGATTCGTTGAATAGCTTCTACCTCAGGTACTGCACTGAGACATTTGCGATTGCGTCTAAGATGGTTATATATCTCCCCACTTTCTCTTGGCTTGCTGATCTATCTGTACAGGAAGAAGAAATCTATACATGAATATGAAGTCCCAAGTGATTGTTACTATGGGACACCATGACATCCTCCTCCTGACACCTTGTGGCCAGTTAGTAATATGACATTATCCTAAAACAACACCATGTGTTCTCTATTCTTTAAAACTGCATGTATCATTAGGAGAATAAAAAAAAAAAAATGAATAATATCGGTACCTTTGGACTGATGGTGACATCATTTTTGTTATTAAACATTTTCTGCATTTTAGCAGTTATTTTTACTCTGTAATCCCTCCAGAATCAATTGGAAAAAATACAATGAATTGTATAAAAACCTTGAATCTATGATTATTTATTGCCAAATAATTTGCCAAAAAGTTTGTTTCTCCATATATATTTCTGTAATTATAGATAGAATTTAATAGCTTTAAATATTATAGTTAATATCCCTCACTTTATTTGGTAAAACTTGAAAAGTTACTGAATTTGCTACAACATAGAGGAAAGAAGTCTTTGCTTGGGGATATTTAATTCCAGCCACTTTGTAATTTTAGGGAGTGAATTGAATCACCACTTAATGACGCAGGCAACAGCAGGGCTTCTAAGAAAATCACATTATAAATCAGCGTTAATCTCTTCTTATACTATGAAATATAACACTAGAAATGCCATGCAAAACTCATTATTAATCATCTCAAGAAAACAGTTGTGAAACCATTCATGAAATAACCCCGCACCCCATCAAGAAACGGAACATAACCAGCACTCCAGGGCGCTCTTGTTTGATCACCGCACATGCCCCAGGGCAAAAACAGGCATTATTCTAAATGTCTCTAACTTTCATTTGAACTATTAGACATGCAAAAATGTGCAAAATTAGCACAATGAGCTTCCAATGTGGCCGTCACTCAATTTCTCTTAATGCTGACATTATTTTGAAACAGTTTTGCTCTTGCTGCCCACGCTGGAGTGCAATGGCATGATCTCAGCTCAGTGTAACCTCCCCTCCTGGGTTCAAGTGATTCTCCTGCCACAGCCTCTCAAGTAGCTGGGATTACAGGCACCCACCACCATGCCTGGCTAATTTTTTGTATTTTTAGTAGAGACAGGGTTTCACCATATTGGCCAGGCTGGTCTTGAACTCTTCTGTCTGCTCAATTGCACACTGATAATGTTGATGACAAGCTTCTTTCCAGGAGCAGAAGAAAGACCGGATGAGACAAATCATTCCTCCACCTACCCAGGGACTTCTGCATAATTGACTCTTCCTTGGCTCCTTCTATCTCTTCAGACATTCACCTTATCCTGTGTAAAATGTACATTTACTGGGCACTAACTGAAGTCTCACAGAAACGTAACCATTGACCTTACCACCAACCCGCCCGTCTTCCTATATGCCTTCCCCCACCTTAAGAAAATATATACGTACTGAGTGTTCTAAAAACCTCTTTGGAAAAATGGCCATGGGTGTGTCTGTGGCTTATTTTTCTAGACATACTCTAATATTGGCTTAATGAAACTTGACTGAGCAATTCTCACTCATTTCAGTTAAGTTTCTAACATTTCTTTAGTTGGGCCTTGACAGCGAAGAATATTGGTCAGTTATTTTGCCAAATGAATTTCATAGTAATTATTCCCTGGATTTCTTCTTGCATGACTGGATAAATATTCCTAAATACTACAGTTTAATTTTTACTATTCATTGAAAATTATATAAATTGTATACCCTGTCGATGAAAAGTCAAACCCTGTATTTTAAGATTTATTCTGAGCCAAATGAGTGACCAATGGCCCATGGAACCACCCTCAGAAGATCCTGAGAAACACGGGTCTGAGGTGGCCGGACAACTTGGTGTTACGCATTTTAGGGAGACATAAGACATCAGTCAACATGTATAAGATGTACAGTGGTTTGACCTGGAAACACACAACAATTGGAAGCAGGAGTTTCTAAGTCAGAGGCAGATTCAAAGATTTTCTGATTGGCAATTAGCTGAAAGAGTTGTTTATCAGTAGAAAGAAATGTCTGGTTATGGTAAGGGTTTGTGGAGACCAAGACTTGATCTTGTAGATGAGGCCTCCAACAAGCAGGCTTCAGAGAGAAGATTGTAAATGTTTTTTAATTAGACTTAAGTCTTAAAGAATCTGTTCTATCAGTAATTCCAAAAGGGAGGGAGGGTATCCTGAGGCATGTCAAGCTCTTCCTTCCTATCATGGCCTGAACTAGTTTATCAGGTTAACTTTGGAATGCCTTTGCTGAGACGAGGGCCCTATTCAGATGGTTGAGGGAGGCTTAGAATTTTACTTTTGGTTTAAAACCCTTTAGTATTTAGCCGGAATTTTAGGAAGGGGACCCTGATTTTTGTAGTGAGAAGAACCCATATTAGTGCCCATGGACATAAACATACACAAACAACAAATAAGCAATTCAAGATCTGATAAAAAGATAATGACATTGAAAGATGCTTCTGAACCCTATGTCTGAGGCCACCAAACAATCCAAGCAAAATCATTCTTGTGACCTGGTTACAAAGATGTGCATTTCAAATACCAGTAAAGAGAAAAGACACAAAAATGGGAAGATTAAAAGAATTTTTAAAAAGAAAACAGATTCCTTATTAGCCTTTCCATCAGAATGAGCTTATTTCCAGAGTCCCAGCCATTAATGAAGAGCCTAGAGTAGTTATGAACAAAATTTGACTTCACCTCTCAAAACCTGACTTGGTGAACAAGGTCCCAAAACTAGCTGCCATCAGTGATATGCAGAAGAGCAAGTGCAGAGGGCAAGCTGGGCTACAAGAGGACTCTAAGGGGCACAAGCAGGTTGTGTGGTTCAGTCTCCTGTGAGCATGCTCTGAGAGGCAGATAGGTCTAAAGAGCAGAGATGGAAGATTGACACTGATAGAATACCATGTCAGAAGTCAGAGTCACAATCACTTTGGTGACTGAGTGGGGACAGGACAGGTTTTGAGGGTTGGTAATCATTCTTGACCAGCTGGGTCAAGAAAGAGATTGAGCTCCTGGTCTCTAGCAATCCTCCCACCTCAGCCTCCCCAGTAGCTAGGAGATATATGTATTTGTATATACATATATATGGGTGTGTGTGTATATATACATATATATGTATACATGAAAGAAAACTGACTAATCTCTATATATATGTGTATGTGTGTGTGTATATATATATATGTATATAGAATCTCCTTCTGATAAATATCCTGTTGAAACTGTGACTCCCTCAGGAATTCTCGGTGCCGTCTTCACAGCCCTCCCTCTTCTGCAGCCCCTGCTCTGCCGCTTCCATCCAGGCTGCTTGCCCCAGAGATGGGCTGCGCTGCACGGGGCTCCTCCTGAGATGCTGCCTCTTCCCCATGACCCTCTGGATTCTTGATTGTCTGTGTA
Organism: Homo sapiens; assembly: GCF_000001405.40. Taxonomy (NCBI): domain Eukaryota; kingdom Metazoa; phylum Chordata; class Mammalia; order Primates; family Hominidae; genus Homo; species Homo sapiens. Next base: position 248,619,368 of record NC_000001.11, on the reverse strand, counting down.
CCACGTCTTCTACTTTAAAACCTCCCCATTGTGGAGCATGTCTTTCAACAGGTTTATAAACAAAGTACGTGGGAGGAAATTTTTTAAAGGCCTTGCATGTTTGAAAATGACTTTTTTTATCCTCCCACTTTGACAGTAGATCTGGCCAGGTGTCAATGTGTAGGTTGAAAAAAGCTTTCCCTCATGAATATGAGGATGTCCCTCCTCCATTGTCTTCTAACATTCAGTATTTCTCCTGGGAGTTCCATGCTCTCAATTTTAGTTGTGTTGTCGTCCCCTGGAGGCTTCAGGCTCTCCTTTGGCAGTCGTGTTAAACATTCATAATGTCTTCATAAGGGCTCTTTTTAACAATTATGTTGGGCAATTGATGAACCTTTTAATCTTGAAACGTGTCTTTCAATTCCAGAATTTTTGCTCTGAAACATGACTGAAATATGTGCTTTCCTTCCATCTAAAACATTCTTTTCCTCTGGAATTTTTATTACTTGATTTGCCTCCTGACTCACAAACTGGATCTCTTCTTCTACCTTCTTTTGCATCTGTCTTGTCCTACTTTACAGTCTACACTGCCATAATCTAAATGTTCAAGAACTCTTAAAAATTTCTCCAATGCTCTGTTTAAAACACCCTGTTCTAGTTTAATATCTGTTTGTATGTTCTTATCTGTCATAGCAGATTAGTCAGTTATCTTTTATAGAAAGAGTTTCTCTAATTACTGCATACTGTATTTCTTCTTATTTTCACTGATTTGTGTGATTTCTGCCTTTTATTTTAGAAGCTTTCCTCAAGTTTTGTAATCCCTGTCTCTCTCCTAATGTTAGTCTCTGGATAAGGACAAGCCTTAACGAGTAGGAGTCACTAAACTATGATGTAAATGACTTATTTTGGAAACCTCAAATGTCAGTATTCCTAGGTATTTTCTTTGGTATGGTCTGCTTCCTCTGCAAATCTTTCTGGGGGCTGCCAGCATTCTGAGAACCCACGTTGGGGAAACGTGCTGGTGTGCTTCACAATGTAGGGTGCAGACTTCCCACTTACACCCACGCAATGTCTGTTTTCCAATCCCAGAGCCCTTTGGGTACACCACCACCTCCCAAGTTAGTGTCGCGTCAGGTCGGGGAGGAAGGGTTGTCTAACTAAAGTGCGTGTATAACAGTTTTTATACAAACTTTTAGCCAAGCCTCCCATTTCAATGTTACCTGTAATATTTAGACAGACCTGATTAGGAGTTCTTCCAGCAGGAATCAACTTGCTTCCGAACTTCTCCACTCACCAGCTCAGTGTTCTGCTTTGAGATTTTTGAGTCAAAAACAGTTTCCTTTGGCTTTCCAGCTTCCAAAACTTTGTTGCTGTTTTTTCTCCCAACATCTTGATTCTTCTGTATTTATGCTTTAAACATAAGAGTCCCTTCACTGAGTGGTAAACACTTATGTTTCAAAAAAGGCCTGAAAATATCTTTTGTTAATTTAATCCTTTTAATTTTTTATTACCATTTTCTTTCAAATTTTTAAGTTTATATTTTAATTGACAATTGTATATATGGTGTACAACCCAATGTTTTAATATGTATATACATATATACACATTTTGGAAAGACAAAATCAAGCTAATCAACATATCAATTACTTCACATCCTATAATTTTTGAGTGGTGGAGTATTTAAAATCTAGCAATTTGAAAATAAATATATAATACGTAGATATAAACTGTAATCATCATGTTATACAATAGATCTAAACTTATTTCTCCTGTCTAACTACCCTTACTTTTGAATGATAGTATAGCTGGGTTTACAATTCGGGATTGGTAGTTTTATTCTAACAGCATTTGTCCTTGAGACGTTCTCTCTTTTTTAAAGTTTTTTTTCCAACTTTTATTTCAGGTTGAGGGGTACATGTGCAGGTTTGTTATATAGGTAAGTTGCATGTCACTGATTATTTCACCACCCAAGTGATAAGCATAGTTCCTGATAGGTAGGTTTTCAGTCCTCACTTTCCTCCCTACACCCTCAAGTAGGCCCGGTGGGGGGGTCTGTTATTCTTTGTGTCCATAGGTACTCTGTTTAGCTCCCACTCATAAGTGAAAATATGTGGTATTTGGTTTTCTGTTTGTGTTAGTTTACTTAGTATAGTGGCCTCTAGCTCCATCAACATTGCCACAAAAAACAAGATCTTGTTTTTTCTGGCTGCATGTATTCCATGATGTATATGTACAGTATTTTCTTGATTCAGTCTACCATTGATGTGCATTTAGGTTGATTCCATTTCTTGGCTATTATGAACGATGCTGTGAAGAACATATGTGTGTGTGTGTGACTTCATGGTAGAATGATTTATATTCCTTTGGGTCAAAAGGTAATTCTACGTTCTTTCAGAAATTGCCAAACTACTTTCACAATGGCTGAACTAATTTACATTCCCAACAGGAGTGTATAAGCATTCCCTATTCTCTGCAACCTAACCAGTATCTGTTATTTTTTTACTTTTTAGTAATAGACACACTGACAGGTGTGAGATGGTATCTCATTGTGGTTTTCATTTGGACTTCTCTAATGGTTAGTGATATTGAGCATTTTTTATATCCTTGTTGCCTGCATGTAAGTCATTTTTGGAAAAGTATCTGTTAATATCCTTTGCCCACTGTGCAAAAGCTGTTTAGTCTAATTAGATCCCATTTGTCAGTTTTCACTTTTGTTGACCTTGCTTGACCTTGCTATTGCCATCTTCACCGTAAAATCTTTTCTGGGTCCTATGTCTAGAATGATATTTCTTAGGTTATTTTCCAGATGTTTTATGGTTTTAGGTTTTACAGTTAAGGGTTTAATCAATCTTGAGTTGACTTTTCTATGTAGTATAAGGAAGGGGTCCAGTTTCAATCTTTTGCATTACGGCTATACAGTTATTTTAGCAACATTTACTGAACACGGAGTTCTTTCCCTATTGCTTGTTTTTGTTCACCTTGTTGAAGATCAGATGGTTTTAGGTGTGTGTCATTATTTCTGGGCTCTCTACTTTGTCCCATTGGTCTATATATCTGTTTTTGTACCAGTACTGTGCTGTTTTGGTTACTGTAGCTCTGTTGCATGATTTAAAGTTGGGTAGTGTGATGCCTCCAGCTTTGTTCTTTTGCTTAGAATTGCCTTGGCTATTTGGGCTCTTTTTTGGTTCCATGTGAATTTTAAAATATTTTTTTCTAATTCTGTGAAGAATTCCATAGGTAGTTTTATATGTGAATAGCACTGAATCTGGAAATTGCCTTGGGCAGGATGACCATTTTCATGGTATTGATTCTTCCTATTCGTGAGCATGTAATGCTTTTCCATTTGTTTCATCTCTCATTTCTTTGAGCAGTGTTTTGTAACTTTCATTGTAGAGATCTTTCACCTCCAGTTAGCTGTATTCCTAGATATTTTATTTTCGTGGCTATTATGAAGGAGATTGCATTCTTGATTTGGCTCTCAGCATGAATGTTAGTGCATAGGAAGGCTACTGAGTTTTGTACCTTGATTTTATATCCTGAAACTTTGCTGAAGTTGTTTATCAGATCAAGGAGCTTTGGGACAGAGACCATGTGGTTTACTAGATATAGTATCATGTTGTCTGCAAGCAGGGATAGTTTGAGGTTTTTTTCTTCCTATTTGGATGTCTTTTATTTCCTTCTCTTGCTGATTGCTCTGGCCAGAACTTCCAATACTATGTTGAATAGGAGTGGTGAGAGAGGGCATCCTTTTCTTGTGCTGGTTTTTAAGGGAAATGCTTCCAGCTTTTGCACATTCAGTATGATCACTGTGGAGTTTTCATAGAAGGCATTTGTTATTTTGAGGTATATTTCTTCAATGACTAGTTTAATTGAGAGTTTTTAACATGGGAGTTAAAATTTATCAAAAGCCTTTTCTGAATCATTGAGATAATCATTTGGTTTTTGTTTTTAATTCTATGTGATGTGATGTTGAACCAACCTTGCATCCCAGGGATGAATCCTACTTTGGTCACGGTGGATAAACTTTTTGATGTGCTGTTAGATTCTATTTGTATTTTGTTGAAGATTTTTGCATCTGTTAATCAAAGATACTGGCCTGAAGTTTTTCTTTTTGTGTGTGTGTCTCTGCCAGGTTTTGAGATCAGGATGATGCTGGCCTTATAGAATAAGTTAGGGAGGGGTCTCTCCTCAATTATTTGGAATACTTTCTGTAGGAATGATATGAGCTCTTCTTTGTACCTCTTGCAGAATTTAGTTATGAATCTGTCTGGTCCTGGACTTTTTGTAGTTGGCAGGCTTTCTATTGTGAATTTAATTTCAGAACTTTTTAATGGTCTGTTCAGGGATTCTGTTTCATCCTGATTCAATGTTGAGAGGTTGTATGTGTCCAGGAATTCATTGATTTCTTCTAGATTCTCTAGCATAAAGCTGTTCATAGTAGTCTGAGGGTTTTCTTTGGTTGGTGTTTCTGTCAGGTTGCTGGTAATGAACTCTTTGACAATCCTGATTGTACTTATTTGTAGCTTCTCTTTTTTCTTAGTCTATCTAGTGGTCTATTTGTCTCTTTATGTTTTTCAAATACCAACTCCTGGATTCGTTGATCTTTCGTATGGTTTTTCACATCTCAATTTCCTCCCATTAAGCTCTGATTTTGATTAGTTCTTTGCTAGTTTTGGAGTTGGTTTGCTTTTGTTTCTCTAGTTCTAAGTGTGTGATGTTAGGTTGTTAATTTTAGGTCTTTCTGACTTTTTCATGTGGATATTTAGTGTTGCAGACTCCTCAACACTTCTTTAGCTACATCCTAGAGATTCTGGTATATTTTACCTTTGTTCTCATTAGTTTCAAATAATTTCTTGATTTCTGCCTTAATTTTGTTGTCTACAAAAAGGTCACCATTAGCATATTTAATTTTCATATAACTTTGTTTTGAGTGATTTTCTTAGTATTGATCTCTATTTATTGCACTGTGGTCCAAGAATATGGTTGGTATAATTAAGTTGCTGAGGATTGTTTTGTGTCCGATTGGTCAATTTTGGAGTATATGCTGTGTACACGTGAGAAGAATGTATATTCTGTTTTGGGGTTCAGAGTTCTGAAGATGTCTATTAGGTCCATTTGGCCAAGTGTTGAGTTTAGGTCTCAAGTCTCTTTGTTAGCTTTTTGCCTCAATACTGTCAGTGGGATGCTGAAATCTCCCATTATTATTGTATGGGAGTCTGAGTATCTTTGTAGGTCTTTAAGAACTTGCTTCATGAACCTGGGTGCTTCTGTGTTGTATGCATAGATAGCTAGGATAGTTAGATCTTGTTGAATGGAAACCTGTAGCATTATATTATGGCCATCTTTGTCTTTTGTGACCTTTGCTGGTTTGAAGTCTGTTTTGCCTGAAACTAGAATCGAAACCCTTGCTTCTTTGTTTCCATTTGCTTGGTAGATTTTTTTCCATCCCTTTACTTTGAGCCTATTGGTGTCATTGCATGTTAAATGGGTCTTTTGATGACAGCATACCTTTGAATCTTCTTTATCCAGCTTCCCACTCTGTGCCCTTTGAGGCAGTTAGCTTGTTTACATTCAAGATTAACATTGATATGTGTAGATTTGATCCTGTCATCCTATTCCTAGGTGTTTTTTTGTTTGTTTGCAGGCTTGTTTGTGTGGTTGCTTTATAGTGTCAATGGTCTATGTATTTAAGTGTGTTTTGGTAGTGACTGGTAATGGTCTTTTCTTTCCACATTTAACACTCCTTTCAGGACCTCTTGTAAGGCAGGTCTGGTTGTAAGGAACTCCCTTAGCATTGTCTGAAAAGAATCTTATTTTTCCTTTGCTTATGAAGCTTCCTTTGGCTGGATATGAAATACGTGGTTGAAAATTCTTTTCTTTAGGAATGCTGAACATAGGCCCCCAACCTCTTCTGGTTTGTAGAGTTTCTGCTAAAGGATCTGCTGTTAGCTTATGGGGTTTCCTTTGTAGGTGACCTGCCCCATTTCTCTAGCTGCCTTTAACATTTTTCTTGTTTTCCATCTTCGAGAATCTGATGACTATGTATCTTAGTGATGGACTTCTTGTGTTGTGTCTTGCAGAAAAAAGTTAATTGTACTCAAATTACACCACAGTTAAAGGGATATGAGCCCACACAGATGAGAACAAACCAGTGCAAGAACTCTGGCTTTTTGAGTTGCCAGAGTGTCTACCTTCCTCCGACCAACCACACTTTACCCCACATGAATATGGAGAAATGCAGAGCTGCTACCAATAGGTGTGATTGATCCAGAGTGTTACAGCTGTGTCATGGGCCTAAACCAGGGGGGCCCTTCCTGGTGATGAGCAAGAGGACAAAGGGCTCACAGGGGAGACCAAATGTGTTCTCTCTCAGTGCTCTCAATTTGAATATTGGCCTCTCTAACAACATCGGGGAAATTTTCATGGACAATTTCCTGAAATGTGTCTCCTAAATTGCTTGTCTTCTCCCGCTCTGTTTCAGAGATACCATATAAATCATAGATTTGGTCTCTTTACATAATTCCATATTTCTCAGATGTTTTCTTCACTCTTTTTAATTTTTAATTTTTTCTGAGTTTAGAGTACATCTTCAAGCTCTGAGATTTTCTTCAGCTTAGTCCTATCTGCTATTAATATTTGTAACTGTATTAAGAAATTCTTGTAGTGTGTTTTCCAGCTCTCACAGATCAGTTTGGTTCTTATAATGGCCATTTCATCGATCACTCCTGTATTATTTTATTGTAATCCTTAGATTCTTTGGATTGGGTTTCAACTCTCTCCCGAATCTTGATGGTCTTCATTCCTATCTATATTCTGAATCCTATTTCTGTCATTTCAACCATTTTAGACTACTTAAGAACCCTAGTTGGGGGAGCTAGTGCATTTGTTTGGAGAAAAGATGCTCTGGCTTTTTGAGTTGCCAGAGTTCTTGCACTGGTTCCTTCTCATCTGTGTGGGCTCATGTCCCCTTCACTGTGGTGTAACTTGAGTACAGTCAGTTGACTTCTGGATGTTTTCAGAGGGCCCAAGGCTTTGTGCAGGGTCTTTACTCATAGCTGAGTTCTTGGCCTTGGTTTCATGGGGAGGTATATTAGAGTATTTTTGGTGTCGAAGTTTGGGCTGTGATCCAGTAGATGGTGCTTAAGCATAATGGCCGGTAGATAGAGGAGCCGTGGGGCTGAACAAGGGCCTATTTTCTCACAATTGCAGGCTTGCTCCCTCTCAGTGCTCTGAAAGTGTGGGCTCCTCTTCCTCCTTTAGTGCTGGCTGTAGATCTCAGCTTGGTACTCCTGGGCTACAGGCCACACCTCTGGGGTGACTCAGGCTTTATGTTCCCCTCAGCCTGGAGGCAGTGTGAGCAGGGTCCTGGCAGTGTTGTGGAAGAGGGCCTTTCACATGTTTCTTGGGCCCCATCCCAGAGAAATGCAGAGCTGCTACCAATAGGTGTGGTCAGCCCAGAGTGGGGCAGCTGTGTTTGGGCCCAAACCAGGGGGCCCTGCGTGGTGACAAAAAAAATTCATGTCAATAATTTCTTATGATTAAAACTATATTATCTTTTTAAAACATCTTTTTCACTCTATAAATACATCTGTGAGTGCTATACATAATTTAAGACATAGATGGAACTAAAAGGAGAAATAAAGGTATAAAATAAATCCTACCACATTTACTATAAAATTTTTTCTTTGTAAAAATTTTAGTTTATTTTGTTTTTAATCGACTCATAACAATTGTATATTTTTATGGGGTATGGGGTGATGTTTTGACACATATATACATTGTATAATGATCAAGTCAGAATAAAAATTTTCAAAATAGGATTTTGAAAATTGTTTTTAATTGACAATTGTATATATATTTGGGTACAGTGAGATATTTCAATACATGTACACATTGTGGAATGACCATGTCATGATAATTAACATATCCATCTCACATACTTATTTTTTGTGGGAGAAAATGATATTTTTAATATATAGATACATAGATATATTAAAATACTATAGATTAGAATCATGCTGTATATAGCTCTACATCTGCATAAATATTCTTGTGTACATATTTTCAGTGTTTACTTTTTAAAAATATTGTTTTGAATATAACTTCACAATTTACCTTAATAACAGAATCTGAGTTTTCTTATTTCCAATGTAGATTTCTTCCAATTTTTTACTAATCTAAAACAATACTATAATGAATATCTGTGTAAGGAATTCCTTTATTGTATCGGTTATTACATTTTTATTAAACAGTGTCCCTTTCATGTTCATATACTCGGGTTGTACCCGTCAGTGATCTACCCCGGCATACCACAAAAGGCCGCACTGGTGTTTTCACTGACTCACAGCAACACTGATAATCACACATTTTTTTGCCTCTCTGTTATTCAACAAATTAATGGACATTTTTGTGCTTTTTGTCATTGTCTTATTTTGTATGTACAAGTCTTCCACAAATTGTTTACTAACATGTTTGTGTCATTTTAAAAATTGCCATGTCTGTCTTATGAATATGCAAGAGAATCTTACACATTACCGATCCTCAGCCTTTGATTCGTCATGTGAACCATAAATTTCCTAATTAGAAAAAATTTGTTTTATTCAGAGATTGTTTTCAGTTTTCAAATACTAATTTTACTTTCCATGTTTTCTTCATTGCCTTTGCTCACCGTTTAGCTAAATCTTTACCCATTCATGTGTCTTGTTTTATATTTTTATTTTCCACATGTAAACCTTTAATCGATTTGATATTTTAAATTAATGTGATAACAGGACCTAGTTTCACCTAACTTTTTACTAAATTTTCATAATAATTTACTGAGTAATGCTTCCTTAGTTCAGTGAATCACAATGGAAAGTTTGAGACTTGTAGTATTTTCCCAGAATTGTGTTGCAGTCGTGCCAAGGAACCACACATTTCACTGGTTAATTTTTTACCATAACCATTGACAATCTATTGAGGAGAAATAACTTTTCTGTTTTCATCAGATTATGGCACTAGAAATTTTCAGTGACTTTGTTGAGTAACATTTAATAGCTTAATATGCAGGTTTCGATTCTAAGTAGACCATAGCTTCATTAAGGCTGACCCTGATTAGTATACATGAAATGTTTAAACTTGTAAAACAAACTTTTGAATTTCTTTTAAAATGACACTTTAGTAAACAATTCACTACCTAACTCTTCATGCCTTTGAATGTGATTTTAAAAATTCACAGCTGAAATATGAAAAATAAATGTATAGTAATATTTCTGCAACAAAAGTCACAAATAGAGTAATGTGGTGGCTTCTTTAGTGTGGGTGTGTTTTAACAGCAAATTCTACGATAAATTTATAGCACAAGATCCTTGTGGCTGAATAGAGCACAATGATAATTTAAGCATCTTCAAATACTCAAGTTCTGTAGAACTTAGTATAGTTCCCTTCAACTCCAGGGAAATGTTGTGCCTCCTAAATTTACACACGTCTAATTTTTTTTTCTTAATTTTCTAATAGTTTCACCTCGGAAGTGTAAGCAGCTTACCTGGGTGGGAAAGCAGGTCATGGCAGGGCTGGCCAGGTCATGGGCCGGCCTGCCCTGGAATCCCCTGCAGACCTTGCTTGTCTCCAGCTCTTCTCTCAGGCTCTCCCACTCTGAGTGAGTCTCCAGCTAAATACAAGGCATGATGTAGAATTAGGAAATGGAAAGAAAGGTGCAATCACTTTTTTCCACGAAGGGAAAAAGCATAAGGAACACGGAGGAAACTGGGCTTCTCAGGAGGTCCCTGGGCTCTTCTATTCTTGCAGGTAATTAGGGGGCTAGTCCCGAAAGGTTACGAAGACCAAGAGAATTGTTTAAAATGCTTCCTTTGTTTTCAGTAAATGAACTGAGCTACCATTTTAACTGTTTTCAAGTTGATTGTTTTAAATTAATCCTCTCAATATAATTAAGTAGTGGATTTGCCGATTATAAATTCTAAATGTTGCCAGGCATTGGTTTATTCACTCCACAGTCAGGTGCCTGCTTTGTGCCCATTCCTATGCTGGTCACTGGGGGCACAGTAAGGACAAAAGAGAGGCAGAAAGATTTAAGACAATATCCTTTATCAGTCTGAATTAAATTGCATGTGTTATTAGATAACTAAAGATAGGAGAGACTGAAGAATTCAAAGCAAGGTTTACAGAAAAATGATGGAGATGAGGTTCTGATGTTTAAGAGAAATGATAAAAACAGCCAAATTTGGTCTCAGACATGTAACAATGGATAGGACAGAATATACAAGACAAGGCTGTAAAACATTGCGTCGCTTGGTGTCCTATGAAAGCTATGTAGCATATATAAAGGATCCAAAAGGTTTCAAATACATTTCAAAACTCATATCTGCCTAAAACACATAGGTAGCTAGGAATGGAAATACATTTACTTAAATATTTCGTTTTAGGCAACATCATATATCAAAAGTAAAAAGAAAGCTAAAGCAAAATAGAAAACATACAACATAATATCTACCAAAATTATGAAAAGTTGGTTCCCTTGAAATAAAGTTGAAATGAAATCTGATATTTCTTTGTAATAGAATTCAAATGCTACATGAGGGTCAAAGGAATCGGTATAAAGCAAAAACAGAAATCAATACTGAGGTGACAGATGTTAGAGAATAAATAGAAGATAAAAGTAAAATAAAAATATGTTAACAAATGAAGAGAAACAGCTTAAAAATAATGAAGGACCAGAAAAAGAGGCTTAAAAATCCTGAGGAAAATAAAGAGAGAGGTTAAAAAGTGTCAGTGGATTTGGAAACCAACAAAAAGGGTCAAACATAAATATTGTGGTTGAAAAATACATGTAAATGATTAGAATGAAAATGTACATGCAGATACTTTTTCAAAATGTGATATAGTATTTTCTATATCCAGATATGTCCCACAAAAATATGGTACTGTGTGTGTCTAAGTTAGAATTACTAGGAAATCTAGGCAAAATATCACAATATAGTGGTATTAGGCCGGTCTTTGAATTTTATTTATATTAAATGATAAAAAATA